>NC_000013.11:72195984-72347499 GCF_000001405.40 Homo sapiens
TGCTTTTATTTTCCCTACCCTTAAGATAAAACCCTAATACATCCCTTCTCTTTTCTGTAATAAATCTTAGCACTGTATCTCTAAGAGATACAAATTATGCTCTATACTGTCTTGCAAGTGTGAGTATGGATTGAACCAATGAGCAATGTTATCTAGAAAATAGCACTTAGTGTAAGGTTTGTACCATTTTTTTGAACATTATCCTATTTGTGGCACTGCCTTCATTTCAGAGGCAGGCTGCTGAAATATTTGGCACACCTACCCAGCAGTGAAAAACGAAGGTCTGTGCAATTGAGAGACAGCTCATGTTGTTAACCTGCAGCGTTTGGTCACCTATCACCACTTTAAAAGTAAAATAGGCATTTTCACCTTCTTCAAATACCATTATAGATAGTGTTGAGTCAAAAGCAAAGATTGCTCCCCTCCACATTTCTGGATCTTCCTATTGATATGTATTAGGAATATAAGGCAAAACCACTTCAAGCGTTTAAAAGACTTCATTTACAAAGTATATTACACAGGGCCATTTTCAGGCTCATATCGGACAGCCAATTTGTAATCCTGCTGCTCCTATGAAAGAAAAACTCCCGACCGTTCTTAAAGAACAGTCACAATTTGATTTAATAAATCCTGCATTTTGGAAAATTCAGACGGAAATAATACGTATTTCTCGCTTGCTTGGATGACACTACTTTGTACAAACTCTAAGTTGCCCAAAAATATATATATTTTAGGTCCTAATTTTACTCTCCAGATTTTTTCACTTAATTGATGAAGATATTTTATCTTTTATCCTGGTAATTCTTAACAACAGTTGGTATTCTCTATAAATTATAAAAATGAAAATATATTTAACAAAAACATGTAAATAAATTAGCAGAAGCATTTATAAGCATTATCACGAAACAAAACTTCAATTTACTTCAGATGTCGACGTTTTCAATACAGTGAGCAACTCTGCGATCGTTTATTATTAGTATTCTTTTGCACATATGATTTGTACAATTGGCTATGGATTCTATTTAATTTATAGTTATAAAACAGTACATCTTTAGGGGTAATGAAACAATAAGGAATAAAATAGCATGTACCTGCTTTAGAAAAGCTTACTATATAAGAGGAATTTCTAGGTGTATATATTATGAACAATTGGTCCAGTATAAGAAAACAGTAACATTTTACATACGTAATGTTTTCCAGAAATTTCCCAACTCTTTCTAATATGTACAATTCCCAAAATAAATGCAGAGCTAGTAGCTGTTCTGAGGAATCTTCAAGCAAATTTTTCAATACTAGCTTTGTTATTAATCATCCCAATTTTGTTCATGTTGTATTACATTGGGGAAAAATAGTTGTACAATGAACAAGTATACTACTAAACAAAATGCTCATCTTTTTCTTAAGAGTCAAAACGGAAGGCTAATAAAGACCATTTAAAATAAAAGGGCCCATTACTCCTCAGTTTTATATGAGCTTACATGCTTTCATTGTGCAGAGTGTGTTATTAATTTAACATGCCAGATTCATAGGTTTCTGCAATATCAGGTTTGATGTATTCATTATCGGCACTCAGTACATTAATTCACGCTGAAGTCCGGTAAATCAAAATTATACCATCTGGCTTCCTGTTCTTAATGATGAATTTGATGTAGGGGTGATTAAGATTGTTAGGCTTTTGAATTTTAATGTAAAAATTAGGGGATTAAAAAGGCATTTAGAAATGACCAATAGTTAGAATAAACTTACTGACAGGATCTAATTTGTGTACTTGCTAGTAAAGCTCCATTTTAATTAGCAGCCACAGTCTTTCAGCACAAGCTCAAAGAGACAGAAGTTTAGTGATTAAGAAGATGAAGCTGTTAAATTGATAAATTGACCTTGAAATACTTGTAACTGTGGGGGATGGCCCAGTAACTCAAACTGTTAGTGTGTTGCATTGCCACACGGGGAACTGAGTCCAAGAGTGACCCCGGACACTGAATTTTGCTTTTTTATTCTCTTCTTCCTCCTCCTCCTTCGTCTCTGTTTTTTAGTTGGCATGCACCATTCTCATCTTGCAGGTAGGGGCTGGAAATCAGAGATAAACAAATACAGAACTCTGCAGACGTATCAGTTGGCACTACAGTAGGAAGGTGAAGATTCCATCACTGTTTCAGAGCTCCTTGACAGGTGAATTTGAAAAGTATGTCTAAACCTGAAAGCATTGTATTGGTCCTCTAGGTTTCCTGCTATAATGATGCTATACACACGCAGTGAGGTGTCTGGGAGGAAGACACTCGAGGAGTGATTCACTCAGGAAATCTAGGGCACAGCCACCAAGAGTCCCCCTCTTTCACCATATTTCAAAAGAGGAGCTCCTGAAATGGAAGATTTTGAAATATCCACAACATAGAGATGTATATAACACACAGTCATTGCACTCAAATTTGACATGAGACTTCTTTTAATTGAAAGACCAATCTGACATGGATGTTCCTTTGACAGTTAAAATTACCTCTGATTTTAACAAAAGCACTTGAAATGTTACACCGAACTCATTACACCTTTTCTGCATAAAGAAGTTTAATAGTTAAAACAAGTTAAGACAGAATAGAATCTTAATGTACAATATTATTAGAATAATATAAAGAAACATCCTCATTTTTTCAAAGACATAGAGATAAAAGTGCAAAAAGCCATACAATAGAAAAGTAAGGTTCAAAATAGAATTATTTCCTGAGAAGGAAAAAAAAAATGACTACCTGGTGTGGTCTCATAAAATGAGGTGCCTTAGGTCCTGTGAAATTAATAAAGGTAGTCACTAATGCACTAAAATAAAATACAGTCAGAATGACTTACATCAGAAAACAAGTACATCTGTATATATCAACAATTTGAAGGATTCTGATTGCTGGCAAGTCAAGGAATATTTTAAATCTTATATTTTAGAGGAAATCGAATCTTGACTAACCACTGCAATTTATGTCATTTTAAATAAGATATATTTGAATAAGTATATTTTTCATGCCCTAAAAAGACTGATGTCTTCTTTTATAAGCTCATCCTGTGACACAGTTGAGTAGGTAGGTATATTGATTTTTTTTTCTTTTTCTGATGGCAATGAAGTGTAAATGGAAAATATCAGACTTGGCAATCACTTAAACCATGTGAAAATTTCAGAGTGAAGGCTATTAGAGTCACTTTGTGATCTCCCCAGATGACCAGAGGGAGGGGGGAGGGAAGAAAAAAAAACATTTCTACATTTCTTCATATCCTTTGTGTGACAGCTAAGGAGAATAACATTCTTTCTAATACGCCAGTTTTCGTCTCTAGTTGAGAATAACCTCAGTGCTTTCTTATGTCACTGGCTGAGAGAAGATGAAAGACCCAGCCTTGTGTAAATGGCTTTGTCTAACCATCAGTCTTTAGCTCTGCATGGCAGCTGTACTATTGACATTAGCTTGTGCACTGGGTGAAATTGAAGTGAGTTAAATGTGACCTTGGCTTAGTTGTTGAAGTAGAAATGAACTCTACTGGGAGTGAAAAAAAATAAGACCAGTTTCTCTAACTTCATTTTTTCTTTAATGAGTTTAACAGCACTCTTAGGATTTGATACATTTTATAAAAACGCTTTATTTCCTTTTCTATTATATACTGGGTAATCAGCATTTAGTAAGGTTAGCTTGCCCTTTTGTTATGAAATCCTTGTCTTAGGTATTTATATGCTATATTCTTTTTTAAATGGCACACTTATTTTCCCTTTCCTCCCTTTATTAGTCGTAACCACATAAATATGAACTGAAAGTTTTCAGGCATATATGTCCAGTGACTTCTTAATACATGCTAGACCACTGAAACATTTTTAAATGCTCAGTGTTTCTGATGACATTGCATTGTCTTGTCCACTAGGTTACATGTGCTCTCACTAAACAACCTGCTGGTAAATCAAGTGCAGTGAATATGTGAGACCTGCAGGTAGACAGGCTAGGCTGGAACACTTCTAACACTGCAGCTCCTTTGTTTTTCAAAAACAGCAGGAGATAGTGTTTGCATCACAGGTAAAACAGCATCGATTATATTTTCTGATGGAGACAATTCAGGAAGTCTTTGGAGTTTCATTTCTATTTTGAGTATTCCTAATGCATACATACATGTATATGCATAAATACACTGATTTTATGTTTATATGCATATATATTTATGTGTATATATATATATATATGTGTGTATAGGTGAGTGTGATATATGTACATATTATTTTAGCTTGCAATAATGATACATGAGCCACATCTCAGACATTTCAAGTTCAGTTATTGTCATGAAATTTATCAAAGATGCTCATGATGGGAGTTTTAATTAGCCTATCTAATTAAACTTGAGCCAGCACAATCTATTCTTATATTTTCCCATTCATATTTTACTAATACTGCATTTCTATCACTGGCCTATAGTGATATCACTGTTGGGTATACATGGAGCCTGCACATTCAGCTTCTGTCTTTAATCATCTCTATACTAATTTAACACTCCAAACATTTTTTTTTTAATTTTTTTTATTATACTTTAAGTTTTAGGGTACATGTGCACAACATGCAGGTTTGTTACATATGTATACATGTGCCATGTTGGTGTGCTGCACCCATTAACTCTTCATTTAACATTAGGTATATCTCCTAATGCTATCCCTCCCCGCTCCCCCTACCCCACAACAGGCTCCAGTGTGTGATGTTCCCCTTCCTGTGTCCATGTGTTCTCATTGTTCAATTCCCACCTATGAGTGAGAACATGCGGTGTTTGGCTTTTTGTCCTTGCAATAGTTTGCTGAGAATGATGGTTTCCAGCTTCATCCATGTCCCTACAAAGGACATGAACTCATCATTTTTTATGGCTGCATAGTATTCCACGGTGTATATGTGCCACATTTTCTTAATCCAGTCTATCATTGTTGGACATTTGGTTTGGTTCCAAGTCTTTGCTATTGTGAATAGTGTCACAATAAACATACATGTGCATGTGTCTTTATAGCAGCATGTTTTATAATCCTTTGGGTATATACCCAGTAATAAGATGGCTGGGCTAATTCAAGATGGATTAAAGACTTAAATGTTAGACCTAAAACCATAAAAACCCTAGAAGAAAACCTAGGCAATACCATTCAGGACATAGGCATGGGCAAGGACTTCATGTCTAAAACACCAAAAGCGATGGCAACAAAAGCCAAAATTGACAAATGGGATCTAATTAAACTAAAGAGCTTCTGCACAGCAAAAGAAACTACCATCAGAGTGAACAGGCAACATACAGAATGGGAGAAAATTTTTGCAGTCTACTCATCTGACAAAGGGCTAATATCCAGAATCTACAATGAACTCAAACAAATTTACAAGAAAAAAACAAACAACCCCATCAAAAAGTGGGCGAAGGATATGAACAGACACTTCTCAAAAGAAGACATTTATGCAGCCAAAAGACACATGAAAAAATGCTCATCATCACTGGCCATCAGAGAAATGCAAATCAAAACCACAATGAGATACCATCTCACACCAGTTAGAATGGCGAACATTAAAAAATCAGGAAACAACAGGTGCTGGAGACGATGTGGAGAAATAGGAACACTTTTACACTGTTGGTGGGACTGTAAACTAGTTCAACCATTGTGGAAGTCAGCGTGCTGATTCCTCAGGGATATAGAACTAGAAATACCATTTTCTTTTCTTTCACTCTGTTTTTGGTGAAATAATATCTTCCCAAAGATATCTACATTCAAATCCTTGGAACCTGCTAATATGTTTGTTACCTTATGTGGCAAAGGGACTTTGCAGTTGTGATTAAGTTAAGGATCTTGAGATGAGGAAGTTATACCTGATTACTGGCCATGTCCAATGTAATCACAATGGTCCTTATAAGAGGGGGACAGGGAGGCCAAAGTCAGAGAGGGAGCTGTGACAACAGAAGCAAGGTTGAAGTGGTGCAGGGCCATGAGCCAGGTTTCCAGCAACCTCTAGAAGCTGGAAAAGGCCAGGAAGGAAACAAATTGTCCCCTAGAGCCTCTAGAGGGAACACAGCCTGCCAACCTAATTTTAGACTTCTGATGTCCAGAATTGTAAGATAATAAATTTGTGTTGTTTCAAATCACTACATTTGTGATAATTTGTTACAACAACAAAAAACTAATACATTGATGAACATATATTTCGGTTATTTGTGCACAGCAATATACACTGGCATAGTTGCCAATCATTTAAGTCATTTGTTTAGTAATTACTGTTTTCTTACCTTTTCACATTCATGCTCAAGTAACTATAGAATTCATAGTTATCTTGTTTAGGAACGGTTCAATGGTAAATTTAAAAAAATCTCAAACAAGAAATCATCACAGTCTTTAGAAATAGATGACAAATTGGAAAGCCTGTCAGCAACTCTGCACGTACCTAGCCATAAAAAGAAAATGTCGTGACCATCTGCAGAAGGTCAAAACAGTGTGAACAGAGAAGTGGGAAAAAACCTACTTAAAGTGTTGTAGGACAACGCCACTGTGGATAGCTGGCCAGATACAATTCCTTCCAGAGCACAGGGTCAGAACTGTTTACGGTGGGCCTTTTAGGCAAATTGAAGAAGGGATGGGGCCAGGAGGTTTGTGATAGACCAAACCTGATACTGCTGACTCACACAGGGGTTTCTCAGGGGTTGGGCAACAGAAAAGATTACCAAAGCTTATAAGGCTAGAACTAGAGACAGTTGCTATATTTATGCTTGTGCATGTATTTGCTTACAGAGTATATCATGAATTTGGAGAAAAAGCTAACTAGGTCAGGGGTGAAGCGCTCCGCCTTCAGGCTGTGCCTTGTATCTGGTCAGAGACTTGGGCTCAATGGGCTATGCTCTTACCTCCCCATCTCTGCTGAAAAAGTGCATGTTCAGTGAGGTGCATTAGAACCCCCGAGTCCCCCACGGGGAGGACCATTACTGGTCCAAGGCCTGTTAGGAACTGGGCCACACAGCAGGAGGTGAGCAGGGGCCAGCTAGCATGACCGTCTGAGCTCCACCTCGTGTCACATCAGTGCGAACCCTATTGTGAACTGGGCATGGGAGGGATCTAGGTTGCTGCTCCTTATGGGACTCTAATGTCTGATGATCTGAGGTGGAACAGTTTCATCTGGAAACCATTCCCCGCCAAGAGCTCCCCCGCAACCCCCGACCCTGCATTAGCACAATAGACAGAGCAGGGACTTTGGACTTTTAAAGCAGACACACCACAGAGGAAACCCCAAAACTGTGTTTGAATGTTTCCCAATTTCTCTGAACCTCACTTTTCTGCCAAACAGGGCTACTAACGCCATCTTCATAGGATTCTTATGGGGGTTAAAAGAAATAAGCTAAGAAAAGTATCTAACGAAGGCTGGCATGTAGAAGTTGCTCAGTAAATACGAGTTTCTTTCATTTATCCTAGGTTTCAGTGAAAGGAGAGAGCTATGATCATTTTGAATTGTCAGGTGGCCTGAAGTTAACTATTCTTCCATACACACATTATTGGGGGTTCTCCTTGACTTTTCACAGCCTTATTTCATCTGGCTTCCTCCCTCATCATCATCATCTTTGTGTACTTAGCATTCTGAAGACCTAATAAAGATATTCACACCCTTCAATTCTCTTCTTGAATCAGTAGAACAGAACCACATGTATAATATTCTCAATTACCCTTCTCCAATTCCATTTACAGAGAAAAGAAAAGAGAAAATATTTATTTGATATTTACTTCATTCCAAGCACAGTGCCATGTATTTTCAAATATACTGAAATATCATTTATATATGTTATATATGTAAGCCAGTTGAGTTTTTAATATATATATATACACATACATATATATGTATAAAATCTGAATATTTAAAATGGCAGATAAATATATTACTTCATTATGTGACAAGATCATACAGTTTTTGGTATCTTCACATAATCTTATTGGTTGCTCTACAGGTAGTAAAGTAAAAAAATCTGTAAAATGATGAAATCTTTTTGGAAAATTAATTATCAGTTGATTGTAAAATGGTTTTAGGAAAGAGAATACATTATTAGAGTGCCAAGATATCAAAGACATGAATTTAAAAGAGAACCACATATAACTGCTATAATCTTTTCAACATTAGGCTGACATAATTTGGATGCTCATTTATCAAGTAGATGGTAGGAGTGAAAAAAAATTTTAACTGCTCTTCTATATACATATAATGTGCAATGATTTTTCAGCTGGTCAGTGTCCACCCCTGGAGTGTGTTCAGGGATGTATAGGGGGCATCAGAGTAACTCAAGGGCTTTTCAAATTGTACCCACTCTCATCCAGATTTTGCTAAATTCCCTCAAGGCAAGAAATATCTGCTCACATTTAGTTGAAGGAGTACACTGGAATATCCAGAGGAATCACATTGCACCCTACCCCAACAGAAATGGTTAAATGCCATCTTGGAAAAGTGTGTATCCTTCTGGTGTTGAGAATAATTTCCCCGAAGTGAGTCACTCCTGATGCAATTTGTTGGCATCCTGCTGGTGTGCTGGTGGGGAAAGCTGGCTTGGTAGCAACTTTGGTTCTTAAGCCATCTTAAATTTTTTAAATTGCCGACAAAATCATTATGAGTGTAAGGGAAAAAAAAGTGTCCCCTTAAGATCCAGAGAGTAATATGTAACATAATTCCATTACAGACCTATGTATTACAAATATATAAATGCAATTTTCTAAGCACCAAGTAGTGATTAAAAAAAAACCCACACACAATGTAACAGAGATTAAATTTCAACAACATCCTGGAGCCACATGAAAGCTATTGTACATTAGATTTATTAGTTTTACTCCACCTTGATGAGAGAGTATCACCTACTACTTTTGAAATAACAAGATTGACTAATTTGCCTAGTTCATAGAGCTTTAGATAAGGTGGCAGAGAGTAGACATTGGTTCTAAGAAGATGTACTTTATTATATTGTCTTTTAGAAGTTAAATTGAAGACATCCAGGAGAATCTGGGGTGTATAAAGTGCTAGGGAACAGGCTCCAGGAGAAACCTCCACCATCAAATAGCAGTTTCCAAAGAGAATGAAGAGCAATCATGGGTGGACATCTGTGCAAATCTAGCAAGGGGTGAGTGAAGCAGCAAATGGGCACAGAAAAAGACAAACTGGAAGGATCATCACACGGAAATCCAGGGACGTTGAAGTCAGCTCGAAGGAGATGGTCCAGTTCTGGAGCAGACTGCCAGATTTCAACCCCAATGCAACAGCAGCTTGGCCAACTCGCTCCCTCTAGGACTCCCTTCCTTGTGTTCTTTGTGCACAAAACAATGATAATCAGGCACCCACATCACAGAAGAAATAACTTAATACGTGCCTGGCACATACTAAACATGTAGTAAATAGCATTTCTTGCTGCTATTAAGTCAGTCTGCCTTTCAAGGGAAGAAGTATCTGCTCCGAGTACACCAGGCACAGAGAGGCCTCCACTGCCTTGAGTAAGGCCGGGTGGGAGGAACTTTGGTACAAGGTCTAAGAATAGAGCAAACACTGTAAACTAAAACTTGGGTATGGCTTTAGAGCATAAAAGGCAACAAGTTTGACTTGAAGCTGGGTCAGCTGAACAACTAAATTGGGGCTTCCTTCTTGGGAAGGTGAGAAGTCTCGGGACCTGGGGGTGAACTTTTCCTGTTCAGAAACTCAAGTTGTCCCAAATGTAAGACAGGCTGGCTGCAGGAGTGGAAGGTTTGAGAATAGGACGGTGAAGTGATCGAAGTATAAAACTCTAGAATATTTCTCTCAAAAGATCTTGGAAAATAACTGGAAATTTTGCTCACCTGTATAACTTTTACCAAATCTCAGTGCTTGTTAGTGTAAGAGAAATAATGCTGTGTTTCTTGCTATGTGTCATATTTTCCACAAAAGTAAAAATTGGTTTTTGTGGAAAGGGAACAAGCCCTCAGCCAAACCTAGGTGAGTCATCCTGCTGTCTGGGTGGCTGTGGTTATAGCACGGCAAAGGTACTGTCACACTGTGGATCTCAACTGAATAGAGGTCTCATTGAAATGTGGAGGGTTTAGCTGAGGAACAGGTCAAAGGGTTGCCCAGACAGGCAGCCATTACAACAATAACCACAGCCTTCTCCCTACCCACTTGAGCTCACTTGTTTTAATCTATTTTTTATTTTTCTTTATATTTATTTTCCAGTTCAAATACACTATAAAATTTTGTTTTTTGTTTTTGCCTATCTTCTCCCACTGGAATAATATACATATCAACAAAGCTGGGATCTTTGTCGTTCTGTTCACACATGTATACGTCAAGCACATAGAAGAATGCCTGGCTCAGAGCAGGCACTCGGTAAGTATGGGTAGCCTGGCTGATGGAGAAAGTGGTTTAAGAGTGTAAATGATTTTTTGTATATTTTTTTCTTCAGCTTCAGAGTTTTCCTCTAACTCTAGAGCCCCTTCCGACTCTGATCTTGTTTATTTAAAGTATAAATTTTGAATTAATCTCAGACTAACAGAAAGTTGCGAAAGTAGTACAAAGAATAACTACACAGCCTTCATCCATAATTCCCACGTTAGCATATTGGCAAGTTGGCCTTATTCTCTCTCTCTCTCACTCATCACCCCTATAATACATTAGCTTTAACAACACTTTAGAGCAAGTTGCAGACACTCCTAAATATTTCTGAGCCTATTTCCTAAAATTAAGACTATAACCACAGCACAATTATGAAAATAATGAATATAGATACAATATGATTTCTAATATACCAATCTCATTCCAATTTTACCAGTTGCCCCACTAATGAACTACATAGCTTTTATTTTTTCATTTCTCAGATTAGGATCTAGCCCAAGATTATATGCTTCATATAATCGTCATAGCTGTTTAGTCTCTTTGGGTCTGGAGCAGTCTATCAGAAATTATTTATTGTTCATGTCTTTAACATTTTAGCATTTTTGAAGCATGTAGTTATCTTGTAGAGTGTCCCCCACTTTGGGTCTGCCTGATGAACACTCCTGAGGAGATTCAAGTTATGCATTTCTGGCAAGAATATCTTAAAAGTGATACTGTGTCCTGCTCATTGCATCATAGCAAAAGACATAGAAGTCTTTTTGTCTCCCTACTAGTGATGTTAACATGATTACTTAGTTAAGGGTTATCCACCATGTCCCACCACTAAAAGGTTCTTATTTTTCACAGTGTAATTTGTAAGTACCTTGAGGGGAGTTACTGGGAGACTCTGTAAATATCCTTTTCCTCATAATACTTTCACTCTCATTTTTTGGAGAGTTTTCATTCTATGTATATGCATTTTCTATGAACATTTTAACAGAGAGCTGGTTTCTGGACTTCTGGACTTAGTGATCTAAGAATAAATTGTCAGTTGACTCACCATTTATATAAATCTACTCAAATTTGCCTTCTTCCCTTGCCCACCCTCTTAAGGTTATGGGTGGAAAAACTGGATTACATCAAGAATAAAATGACATGTATAAGGGTGAGAACTGTAGGTCCAGCAGATGCAAATAATTTTGTTTGGACAAAACTATTGCTTTTATTCATGGATAAATATTAAATAAAATTCTTAATTTAAATAATGACATAGAAAAGAGATAATGGAGACAATTGTGTAGAAAAGAGATGAATCAATCCAAAGAGTTTAAATTACATTTCCAGGCTTTCCTTTCTCTTATTATTGCCCCAATAGTGCAGTCTAAGAAGGAAACTATCATTTTGCACAAGGGAAAAACCATAGGTGTATGGGCTGTGTAGTAGAAAACCATTTACCAATCAAATGTTGAAAGATATGAAGAAATCACTGTCGAGAGTAACAACCTGGAGTTCTCATAGTAGTAACTGCATAGACAAATCTAATCACATTATTTGTTTGTTCACTTTTAATTTTAAAAAATAAAATTTATATTTAAGCTGCCCATCATTAGCCAGACACTGAGCTAAATTAGGCAAAACTTAAAGTCTGTGGCTTACTGATTTGAGCATTCTCCCTCCAGATTTTTGTATAGTTGCTGTTTTATTATTTCGGATCTGTAACTTACCATAGATAGGCAAGGTATTTCTCTGTGCCTTGGTTTCTTCATAATTAAAATGGGTATATTAACAATAGTATCCATGTCATAAGGTTGGAGTGAGGAATTAATGAGTTCATGTATATAATGTTCTTAGAACAGTGCCTAGAACAGAGTAAATGTGGTACAGTTTAGCTAGTATAATTATTGTTAGTGCATGAGGGTCACCAAAGTCACCTACAAGATTTAATCTCACTAGGAGGACTAACAGGACTCAACATATAATCTGACTCACAGCTGTGATTTATTACACTGAAAGGACAAAGCAAAATCAGTAATGGGAAGGGCACTTTGGTTAAAAGCCAGAGGAAACCAGACACAAACTTCCAAGAGTCCTCTTCCAGCAGAGTGACACAGGATCTATTTAACTCCACCAGGGATGAGTTGTGACAACACTTGTGAAGCACTGCCTCCCAGGGAAGCTAATTAGAGACTCAGGCCCAGGGTTTTTTATGGGGGGTGATCAGATGGGTACCTTCTGCCTAGCATATACCAAAATTGCAGACTCCCAGAAGGAAAGCAGGTATTGAACATAAGCCATATTGGTTTTTGTTTTGTTGTGTTTCTGAGATGGAGTCTTGCTGTGTTACCCAGGCTGGAGTGCAGTGGTGCAGTCTTGGCTCACTGCAACCTCTGCCTCTCAGGTTCAAGCAATTTTCATGCCTCAACCTCCTGAGTAGTTGGGACTACAGGCGCGTGCCACCACTCCCAGCTAATTTTGTTTTTCTTTTGTATTTTCAGTAGAGACGGGGTTTCACCATGTTGGCCAGGCTGGTCTCGAACTCCTGACCTCAATCTGCCTGCCTCAGCCTACCAAAGTGCTGGAATTACAGGCATGAGCCATGGCGCCTGGCCTGAACATAAGCCATATTGTTTGCACAAACCATTTAGGTACAGTGAGCCACTTGTATCAGTTAAGGTATTAAAACTCTCCTGAAATTCAAGTTTCTAGGTGCCAGCAAGAACCAACCTTGTAAACAGGCCTTTTTAAGGATAACAGACCTGTTATGTTAGTTCTTTTCAGCATAGTTATATTTTACTATCATACTGCTCTCCATAAGTATTCTTGCTGAACACTTGCCTGGTCACTTCCCAGTAGAAAAGTAATGTGCCTTAGAAGAATAAATCAAATTGGTTGATATGTGCCAAAATCAGTTGCATGGTACCAGGTGTTACTTCCAGACAAGAACTTCATGCAAAATATTTTCCATGTGGAATAGAACCAAGGCAATGTAATGATTACCTTCTGCAACAACAACATAAGGCACCTTTAGGAACAAAATAAGCTAGACTTATGAGCAGCCTGAATTTAACTTCTCAGTCTCTTGCTTTTACATATTCAATTTTCCAGTTACACCTTTCACACCCAATTTAAAAGCAGGCTCAACTTAGAACTCTGAACAGCTAATTGTCAAGTGGGTTTAGACTAGAAAGATAAGGGCTCAAGCAATCCTCCGACCTTGGTGTCTCAAAGTATTGGGATTACAGGTATGAGCCACCATTCCTGACCCTTCATTATTAATGTTTATTAAACTCAATAAATTTTGCTCTGGGAAATAGAGATATTAAAAATCATTTCTTTAACCTGAGAATTAGGCTAAAATTAGTATGGTCAATACATATTTGTGGTAGATGTCAAAGGCAAGGCTGACAAAGATTGTGATTTTTTTTCCATTAAAATATATTTTTGAAGTAAAACTTTTTCCACTATCAACTCTTCCTTCCTTATTTTATTCAAAAGTACTGGAATAGTCAGTTGGTTTCTGACCTGTAACAGACCTGGATAGTGCCACAAAGATAAAATAAGAGCCCTTAAATCACTGACTTCAAATTTTATTGGAAAAGTCATTTAACAATTACTAAATCATTAATACAGTGTTTAAAACAGAAGCTCCAAAACATCTCACACAGCATTAAAGGTATAACAAAGTATCCTGGCTGGACAGAATTTTTGCCATGTAGGTTAAGAAATCACAAGATGCCTTGAAAGCCCAGGGTAAGGCTGAGAGCATTGATGTACGGATAGTAATTAGGTCTGAAGAAAGTGTAGAGCCTAGTGAAACAAGTTATTGCTTCTATTCTGGTACAGGAATGAACAGCTGCTTATGATGCAACAAAAGATTATGCTTACTACAAAGCAATGATTAATAGACTATATTTCTTGAATTTACCAACATATACCTGAGCTAGATTTGAATAAAATAATACTTTAAAAAAAGACGTGTAGTAGCACACAGTAAGGTATTGCACCACTGGGCATTCCACCTTGAAGTCCTTTCTAATTATGGTAGCAAAGCTTTCAAGGAGATGAAAAATAATACATCTGAAGTTAATTGGAATCATTGCCAGGAAAAAGAAGAATGCAAATGATGATTTTGCACTCTGGACAATATTATCTATAAGGTCCATTTCATCTCTAAATTTCTATGAAAAGCTGATTTTAAAAATCTAGAATAATTAAACTTATCACATTGGGACATTATGATGGGAAATCTCTTTTGGGAAGTATGTAAGAGCCTACTGCAGAAGTCATGGAATCCAAGGGAGGTGTTTTTAAGAGAAAATCATCAAGATCACCTCTTTCTAAGATTTTCCATTGTTATTTTTATCGGTAAAGATTTTGTTGTTTGCTTGTCTCTTCTTTAGTACTCACATCTGTTGTTAATGGGTTATTTTGGAATTGAAGTATTTTTTAGATAATCAAAAAGGACTCCCTTTTGATAGCTACTGTTCAAAAATAAAGTCAAAAAACATACACTTCCTTTATATTATCTTTTTTAAAATCTCATTTCCTAATCTATCAGCTGAGGAGAAACACCATGGAAGCTACTCCTCAACTATGAAGTTCCACCAACATTTTTCATGATTCTTTGCATGTTTCATGATGTTCAATCTTCAAGGATGTCCTCAAGACCAATTTAAATAAATGAAATTAACTGTAGCATATTCCAGACCGACTAAGGGTCACTGCTGTTTTAAAATATCTCTACTGTTGAAAAGGGAATTGAGGGGAAAAGATTCAGAATGTTGAAATCTAATGTCAATAATAACAAAAAAGGAAATTCAGCTAAGATAGCTCCCTGTCTGGCAAATTAATAAACTTCTTATATCTGCTACCCAGGATATATCCTAGTCAGTCATACCCAGCTAAGTCTCATCAGGTATTTATGACCACATAGATAATACATTCATGGAAGACATTATCTTCGACATCATGAGGAATTACCCAATAATACATTTAAACTGTCTTTCCAGATCGGTTATGGAATTTTATATGCTCTATGTCTTCATTCCTCCAATAGTTAGCTCAGTATCATGTATCCTGGAAAATAATACTGATATGAATAATTTTCTCAGGTAAGACAAGAAATCTTTGTTGTTGCTATGTCCCTGAGTCATAAGGCAAGGGACAAAGTAATATAAAGTTTTGAAAATAACACATATATCTCTGTCTTTCTTATATAACACAGCCATCAAGACTGATTCAATAACCTCAAATTTTATCATTAATACTACTTCATTGACTTCAGGATAAAGTTTGAAACTTTGTAGCACCTCATTCACAGGTTAGTTGTGAATGATGAGAAAGCCAGTTTTTCTGTTGATACCTGTCTCCTGCCTTTTCATATGTCTACGTGTAGCTGTTCAATCACAAATCACAAACAATGTGATTTGAAATTTTCACAGAAACGAACAAGTGTCATCTTTGTGGGTTGAAACAAGTTTAGAATACATCTGTAAAAGTATATAATTTGTTTAAAATAGGTTCTAAATGAAGGGACAAAGGGGCAGCACTCTATTTAAAAAAATGCATAAACACAAAGTGAGAGATAAATGGACAAATATGAACGTTCCCTCTGAAAATCACCCCACAGTAAATATAAGGTGGGGCCTGGGCAGGAAGAAGGAAGACTTCCCTCACTCTCTGGTATTTGATCGCTAACATAAAATTACAGCCCCACCACAAAGAAAAAGAAATCTGAGATCGAAGTTATCTGCATTAGACTTTTAAAATCTTTTTTTAAAAAAATAGGGCTATTTTCACTTCCCATCTAGTACTTATTATATAGTACAGTGAATATTTTCAAAGCTAGAAATTTCCCAAAGGCTTTTTAATTTTATCACGTATTTTGATTTCAATAGCTTGAAAAAAGAGTTGAACAACTGCATACACTGAGCTTTCTGGTCCTACAAACCAACAATCTTACATACATTCTTAATCCATTTCCATTTACTTCCCTGCATTACTGAAGGAAAAAGTTCATCTCTTCCTTCACAAGGTGGATGCCTCCTTCTGTACTATATTCTACATGCTTCCCCCACTTGCTTGGGTATTTTTCAACATTAATTACTCTCCCTCTGTCTTTTATTTTTCAACTGTTTATTTCCATTGATTCATAATCCTTAGTATATAAACATATTTTCTTCACAAAGGTGGAAAAAAAAAAAGCAACTAACCCTACCTGACATCTCTGGAACACAGCTCCCAACAACAGCAGAATACATGTTCATCTCAAATGCACGTGAAACATTCTGCAGAATAGACCACATGGTGGCCACAAAATAAGTCTCAATAAATAAAAAAAAGACTGAAATCATACAAGGTATCTTATCCTATCACAGTGGGATGAAGCTAGAAAGCAATAGCAGAAGGAAAACCAATACGTGGAAATTAACCAAAATTCCTAAGGAACACATGGATCAAAGAAGAAAATACATGGATAATTAGAGAATATTTTGAGATCATTGAAAATAAAACAAGACATTCAAACTTTCCCCTTAAGATCAGGAATAACACAAGGATATCCACTCTGGCCACTTCTATTCAACGCTGTACTAGAGGTTCAAATAGGGTGAGTAGGCGATAAAAACCAACAAAGACATCAATTTTGGAAAAAAGATCTGTGGTAGTCACTCATTAGTGATTCTTTGTTTATGTTTGTTTGGTTTTGTTTTCACTCATCATGTTTAACTGGTATGGTGATATTTATAGATGTCATGATTTGCTTTCATTGCAATACAATAAAAATAAATATTTATTTCTCCATTTTAGTGTTGGCTAGCATTATTGATTGTTTCTAATTATTTGCTATTACAGACAATAATGCCATGAATATTCCCATACATATAACCTGTGTAAAGGATTTGTTAGTGTTTTTAGGTAAGAGTCAAATTGCTGAGTCACAGGATATATATATATAACCAACCTTAGTTGGCAACAGAAAACTAGTTTCCAAAATTGGTTAAAGTAATTTACATTTATATTAGCCGTGTATTATGAGAAGTTGGTGTTGTCATGATTTATGCCAATCAGGAGGATATAAAATGGCATCATTTTGTGATTTTAATTTGCACTTTCCCTTTTTCCTAATGAGCTTGGGAATCTTTTTTTCATATTTGAGATCCATTCATGTTTCTTCTTCTGTGGGAAGTCTATTTGTGTTTTTATTGAAAATAATATCATTTAATTATTTGCATTTTTCTTATTAATGCATAGGTATTTCTACATATTCATTATACTAATATTTTGCCAATTATATTTGTCATAAATATTGTTTTCCAACATTTGACTTATGTCTTATGTCTGAAAGAATTACTCATTTTCGGGTGTTTTTAGTTTATAATTTTAAACATTTTAATATATTCAAATAGATCTCTTTTTCTATTTCGCTTTTTTCCTGACTTAAGGAATCATTCATTACAGTTCATGAAGATATTTTCTTATAAAAGTTTTAAAGGTTTTGCATTTCACACTGAGTACTAGTCCATCTGGAACTTATTGCTATTTATGATACCAAATAGGGATTTATTTCATTTTTTCACACAAATAACCTATTATTATCTAAACATTATTGAATACTGCAGTCTTTCCCAACTGATTGATCAGAGTTCTTACATACTTTTTGGGGACTTTTAATCTTGTTCCATTAATCTCTTTGTATATCCCTTCACCATTATCACACTTTTAAATTTGCTATAGATTTAATACATTTCTTATTTCCACCAGTACCCAGTTCTTCTTTAAGAGAATTTTGCTTTTGACCTTCTATAAATGATTTATATATAGGTTGAAGTTTTCTAGTACACTATCCTATCATCAGTGGACAATGACTGCCTGTTTCTTCTTTTGTAATTATTTTCCTCTATTTTCCCCCCTTCTTATTGGTTGTGTTTGTGCCCTAGGGCTGCCATAACAAATTGCTGTAAACTTGGCAGTTTACAACAGAAATGTATTCTCCCACAGGCTGCGAGGCCAGAAGTCCAAAATTGAGCTATCAGAAAATCAATGCTCTCTCCAAAGGCTCTAGGAGAGAATCCTTCCTTGCATTTTCCAGCTGTGGTGGCTCCTGGCATTCATTGGCTTGTGACAGTCTCACTCCAATCTCTGTCTTTTTCTCCTGGGTCCAAATCTCCTTCTTTTTTCTCTAATAAAGACATCAGTCATTAGATTTAAGGTCTACCCCAAATCCTGGGTAATTTCATCCAATATCCTTGACTAATTACATCTGCAAAGACCATATTTCCAAATAATGTCATATTCTAAAGATCCGGTTAGACATGAACTTTGGGAGGACACTATTCATCCTGATAACCTAGGTGTTGCTAGGACCACCATCATAACGCTGAGTAGACATCCTTATTACTGACTTCAGGATGAAACATTTTAACATTTTGACATCAAATATGATATTTTGCTGTGGCTGTTGCAGGTCTTCTTTATCAACACATGGACATTTTCTTTTCCTCCTACCTTGCTGAAGTGTTTTTTTAAATCAATATGCTTATTAAATTATAACAGATAGTTTTTTGAATCTATCGAGAAGATATGTTTTTCTCCTTTAATCTATTTCTTAGTAAATTGCAATAATCAATTGTATCATATTGAACAAAAAATGCATTCCTGTAATAAATCCAACTTCATTATGGTATACTAAAATAAAAATGAATTTGGCACTGAATCTTATTTTCCAAAAAAGTTTTATTTTTTCTGAAATTTTTGGTAAAGCTGAAAGGCCTTGATTCTTTTTTTGAAACTATGTTAAAATGCTGATTCAAAATTTTAATAATGATAATTGGATCATCTATGTAATGTTATTTAGATACCTTCTAAAATTAATCTTTTTATTAGAAATTCAAACATTTGGCTTAGTTGATCCTCTGTTGTAGGCTTCCTTTTTAGTTCAATAGTAGCTATGTATATTTTTGTATTTCCGTTTTCTACTTCCTTTGAATTTATTTTGTTTTTCTGTCAACTTATATAGTTCTTGTGTAACATTAGCTCTTAAGCTTGTAAATTTCCCTCTAAATACATGTTAGCCATGTCCCACAATTTCATAAGTAAATATTTATGGCTTAGTTTTTAGAACCTTATTTCTACTAAAATGGCTTTTTAACTTGTGAGTTACTTAAAATTTTGTTAAAAATATGCTCATATATTTGTTATTGTTTTGTAATTAATTGTATTTATGTTGGAGAATGAGAGACTCTTGCAATTTTTTTTATTTTTAAGTTTTTCCCTAATATCTATTTTGTCCAATAATAATAAAATTACACCAGCTCTCTTTTGGTTAGTTTTTGCCTGATGATTTGCCTGTCAGCCTTTTCCTTTCAGCTTTTCTGAGTTTTGTTTTGTTTTGTTTTGTTTTTGTTTTTGTTGTGTCTTTTACAAACAGTATATACTTAAACTGTGTATTATTAATACAATCAGATAATCCTACCTTTTAGAGAGCATAGTTATTGACATAGATACTGAACTTATTTTGTGCTTTCCCTGTAACCCACATCGTCTACGTATGTTTTTCTTCCTCTTTCTTGCTTTCTTTTTGACTGATTGATATTACTATTCTTGCCTCCCTTTCCCAATTTTCCACAATTTCTCCCTGTCCTGTTTTGGACCTTATGCACTTATTTTCTATTCTTTTAATAGTTATTCCGGAAAAAAATTTAACATATATATATGTAACTTATACTTCAAAGTTAAGCAATATGTTTACATTCAACACAAAGTAATGCTTTATTTTTGATGAATACCATCACAACATAAAGATAATTTTGTCCAGGATTTCAATTCTGTCTTGATTTTTTTTAGAGGTGGAGTCTCACTATGTTGCCCAGGTTAGAGTGCAATGGCTATTCTCAGGCATAACCATAGTACACTATACTCTCAAACTTCGCATTGAAGGGATCCCAAGTAGCTGGGACTACAGGTTTCTGCCTTGAATTTTTTAACCACACAAATTAGGTATGATCATTATTCTTTTATAAAGTCCCATGTTTATGTACTATTTTCTACTATGCACTAGTGTTAATTTTCTCCAAGTCTTCTCTATTAGGTTTATTATCTTTTTTCTTGATGTACATCCTGTAGAAATATTATCAGTGAGAAATTGTTGGTAGTAAGCTCTTACAGTTTGTCTTATAATATTTTTAGTTTGTTTATGTCTTAAAAGATAGTTCACCGAATGTACAATTCCAGTTTCTCAGCTAATTTCTCTGAGTGCATCAAAGTTAATATTGCCCTGTCTTCTACCTTCCATGGTGCTGTTGAAAAGTTAGCTGTCTAATAGTTGTTATCTGTAAGTTGCCTTTTTTTTCTCTGATGGTGTCAGGGTCTTCTCTTTATTTTGATGGTCTTCATTTTTTCTATAATGAGTCTAGGTTTGAATTTGTTTTTATATACACCATTTGGGGTTCCTTGGGAATCCTATATCTGAGGATTGTTGTCTTTCATCAATTCTGGATAATTCTTAGACATCGTCTTTTAAAATATTGCCTCTCTGCCATTTTCTACATTACTTCCTCCTGCAACATATAAAACATGTTGCATATACCATATGTATGTAATTAATATACTCTTGTACCCTGGACACCTTTTAATTTATACAAGATATTTTACATGTTTTTCTTTGATATAAAATATTTTACATATTTATGAAGTACATGTGAGTATTTGTTACATGCATAGAATATATAATAATCAATGATCAAGTCAGGGTATTTGGGAGTATCTATCACCTTGAGTATTTATCACTTATATATGTCATTGACCCTTCAAGTCCTTTCATCTAGCTACTTTAAAATATACAATATTGCTAACTATAGCCACTCTACTCTGTTATTGCAAATTAGGGCTTATTTTTTCTATTCAACTCTGTTTGTACCACTAATCAACCTCTTTTTATCACTGCCTTCCAACCACACACCCTTCCGAGCCTCTGGTAACTGTCATTCTATTCTCTGTCTCCATGAGATCAATTCTTTTCAGCTCTCACAGATGAGTGAGAACATGTGGCATCTGTCTTTCTGTATCTGGCTTATTTCACTTAACATAATGACCTCCAGTTCCATCCATGTTGCTGCAAAACACATGGTTTCATTCTTTTTATGTCTGAATAATATTCTTTGTATTTGTGTGTGTGTGTGTGTGTGTGTGTATGTGTGTGTGTCATTTGTTTATACATTCATCTGTCGATGGACACTTAGTTTGATTCCATATATTTGCTATTTGCAGCAATAAATATGCCAGTAAGGTATCTCATACACAGATTTCTTTTCTTTTGGATAAAAACCCAATAGAAGAATTAATGGGTCATGTGGTAGTTGTATTTTTAGCTTTTTGAGAAACTTCCAAAATGTTCTCCAGCATGGTTGTACTAATTTACATTCCCACCAACAGTGTATAAGAATTCCCTTTTATCTGCACCTTCACCAGCATCTGTTATTTTTTGATTTTTAATAACAGACATCTACTGAGATAAGATGGTGTCTTATTTTAGTTTTATCACTTCCCTGATCCACAATGACGTTGAGCATTTTTTCACCTCCTGACCACTTGTATGCTTCTTTTGAGAAATGCTTATTCACTTCTTTAGGCAATTTTTAATGGGATGATGATGCTGCTTATTATTTACTGTTGAGTTATTGGAGATCCTGGTGTATATTCCAGATGTTGTTCCCCTGTTGGATGAATGGTTTGCAAATATTTTCTCTCATTCAACAAGTTGTTTTTTCACTCTGTTGATTATTTCCTTTGAGGTACGGAAGCTTTTTAGTTTAATGTAGTTCCATTTGTCTCTTTTTATTGCAGTTGTCTGTATTTTTGAGGTCTTAGCCATGAACTCTTTACCTAGACTGATGTTTTAAAATGTTTTGTTTCTGTTTTATTCCAGGAGTTTTGTACTTTCAGGTCTTACATTTAAGTTTTCAATCCATTTTGAGTTTAATTTTTGTATGTGGGAAGACATGGGGTCTAGTTTCATTCTTTTGCATATGAAGGTCCAATATTCTCAGCACCACTTATTGAAAGGGGTAACCTTTCCCCAGTGTATGTTCTTGGCACATTTATCAATTCAATTTCCTGTAAATAAATGAATTTATTTCTATGTTCTCTATTCTGTTCCATTATTCTTTGTGTCTGTTTTTACACCAACACCATGATGTTGTGGTTACCATGGCCTTATAGTACATTTTGAAGTCAGGCAGTGTGATGCTCCCAGCATGATTCATTTCTTCTCTTGGCTCAGGATTGCTTTGGCTATTTGGCTTCTTTTTTTTTTTTTTTGGTTCCATATTAATTTTAGGATTTTTTTTCTATTTTCTGTGAAGAATGTCATTGATACTTTGATAGAGATTGCATTGAATGTATAAATTGCTTTGGGAAGTATAGTTACTTTAACAATATTATTTTGATTATAATTATTCCAATCCATGAACATGGGATGTCCTTCCATTTGTTTCTGTCCTCTTCAGTTTCTTTTATCTGTGTTTTGTAATTTTCCTTGTATAGATCTTTCACTTTTTTGGTTAAGTTTATTCCAAGGTATTTTTTTGTAACTATTGTAAATGAGATTGCTTCTTGATTTCTATCTTGGATAGCTCATTATTAATTTATAAAAATACTAATGATTTTTGTATGGTGATTTTGTATCCTGCAACTTTATTGTATTCATTTATCAAATATAGAAGGTTTTTGGTGGATAATTTAAGTTTTTCTAGATATGAGATCACATCATCAACAAAGAGGGACAATTTGACTTCTTCTTTTCCAATCTGGATACGTTTCATTTCCTTCTTTTGGCTGATTGCTCTGTCTGGGACTTTCAGTAATATGTTGAGTAGGAGTAGTGAAAGTGAGCAGCCTTGTCTTGTTCGAGATCTTAGAGAAAAAGCTTTCAGTTTCTTCTCATTCAGTATGATGTAAGCTGTGGGTTTGTTACAAATGTCTTTATTATCTTATGATAAATTCCTTCTATTCCTAGTTTATTGAAAGTTTTTATTATGAAGGGATATTAAATTTTGTTAAATGCCTTTTCTGTTTCTATTGAGATGATCATACAGTTTTTGTACTTCATTCTGGTGATTAGATGTATCATGTTGATTGACCTGCATTTGTTGAAACATCCTTGCATCCCTGGTATCAACCTCACTTGGTTATGGTGTATTATCTTTTTGATGTGCTGTTAGATTCCATTTGCTAATATTTTGTTGAGGATTTCAAATCCAGGTTTATCAGGGATATTGGCCTGTAGTTTTCTTTTTTATGTTGCATCCTTGTCTAGTTTTGGTATCCGTGTAATTATGGCCTCATAAAATGAGTAAGGAAGAAGTCACTTCTCTTTAAATTTTTAGAATAGTTTCAGAATTGGCATTTGTTCTTATTTATATGTTTGATATAATTAGGTTGTAAATCCATCCAGTCCTTGTTTTTTTCTTTGTTGGGAGACTTTTGTTACTGACTCAATCTCACTACTCATTTTGGTCTATTCAAATTTTTTATTTTTCCTTGATTCAATCTTGGTAGGTGATATGTTTCCAACACTTTATCAAGTTCCTCTGGACTTTCCAGTTTGTAAGCATATAGTTGCTCATAATAGTCTCATTCTTTTTTATTCTTTTTTTCTTTATTTTTGTCTGACTAGACTATTTTAAAAGACTTGTCTTCAAGTTCTGGGATTATTGCTTCTGCTTGATCTAGTCTCTTGCTGAAGGCTTTAAATGTATTTTGAATTTCATTCGATGGATTGTTTAACAGCAGATTTCTGTTTGTCTCTTTTTAAAAATAGCTACCTCTTTGTTGAAGCTTTCATTCATATACTGAATAGTTTTTCTAGTTTCTCTGTATTGTTTTCCGGAATTCTTTTGTATCTCACTGAGTTTCTTTAAAATCAGTATTTTGAATTTTTCATCTAGAATTTCATGAATTTCTTTTTGATTCAGGTCTGTTGCTGGAGGATTACTGTGTCCTTTTGGAGGTATCCTATTTCCTTGCTTTTTCCTGTTTCCTGTATCCTTATGTTGATATCTGTGCATCTGCTATAAAAGTCACTTCTTCCAATTTTTTGAAATTGCTTCCATGGGGAGGACATTTTCCTGAAGTTGTATAGATGTCTTTTGTTAGATAGGGCACTTTGGCTTTCACTTTGGATGCATGCAGTAGTATAACCTCTGTGTAATTTCTTCAGCTATAAACAGTGTCAGTAGTGTCTGTGATTTCCTCAGTTGCTTAGGGTGAGTTATTAGTAGAGGCTATGGTGAAGTTTTTTGGGGGGCCCAGTGCTGGCAGAAGTGAGTTAAGCATGCCTGTCCTGGGGACCCAGGGAAGAGTACACTGGCACAAGTGTTGGTGTGTCTCGGAGGGCCAATTCTTGGGCCTCCAGGTGGCTTGCTCAGAGCAGGTAGTGATAACAGTGGGCCAGGCACGTGAGCAGGTTCTCCGGTCTCTGGGCAGTGGGTGTGATGTGAGTGAAGGTAGTAGCAGCCATGGAGCAACCCACTGGAACCCAGGCAGACAATGCTGGTGTTGACAGTGGCTGCAATAGGTTGGTCAGGCAGGTCCCCTGGCCTACTCATAGGATGTATATCCAGTTGTGTTCATATCCATAGGTCCCACCAGCCTAATCTCACCCTCTAGGGGGTGTGTATAGGTGCCAACAGTGCTGGGGAAAGTAGGGTGATCCTCCAGTACCTGACAACGTGCTTCAGTACTTGGGGGATGGACCCTGGCAGGTGGACTTGTCCTCAGGCTGCTCAGTAGTGCATTCAGGTACTGGCTGTGGTAGGCAGGGGTGGGGCGATCCCCAGGCTTCCAGCAGAATGCCCATCCATCACAGTGACAGTTGTGCTGTGGGACTGCTACTGGGGAGGACAGGACCACTGTCAGTGGGAACAGAGTAGGCAGATAGCTATGGGATGCACAGTTTCCTCATGCCTTATTCCCACAGCAGGGACCTACAGCAGTAGCAGTGGAATTTTTCCTAGAAGTGCATGAAAGTGCTGGCTTCCCCTCTCCTTCTTTGGCCTGGAAGTCAGTGGCAACATCAACCCTGGCCCCAGGGCAGGATGCAGACCTTTGGAGGTTGGGCTCTCAGAATGGTGCTGGCTGGGCGCCTGCCACTGGGAAGGTGGAGTCACTTTCAGTGCGAGCAGGGTAGGTAGGTGCCTGAGGGAATGTGGCTTGCTTGCTCCTCAGCGCCCCCAGCGGCCCACAGCAGCAGTGACAGGATTTGTCCTTGGAATGCATGAAGGTGCCCATCCTTTCTCTCCCTCCTTGGCAGGAGTGGCAGCGTTGCCATCAGGGCAGGATGCAGTCCTTTGGAGTCTTCGCTCTCAGAATGGCACCAAGCTGCTGTTGCTCGGGGCTCAGAGGCCTGTGGGAGTCCAGTGTGAGTTCCCTCTCTGTAGCAATTCCTCTGTGTAATCTCTAGGCAGCTTCCTATGTTAGTCTCACAGCCCTTGTGGTTCAAGGGACGCTCATGTAGCTAGGTTTGCAGAAATCTGTGGCAGGATTGTGGAGCCCTAAGGGTCTTCACTTACCCTTTCTCCACATCTGGGAGCTTCTCCAGGCTGCCAGTCATTCCCAGATGAGCATACTGCATCGCATCTCTCTCCTTTGCTTTCCGTTCTTTCCGTGATTTTTCTATTGAATCCCAGTGCTCCCTTTTAGGCAATCTGTTCCAAGGGTGCATATCTACTTGTTACTTTGGTTCCTCTCAGTGGAGGAAGAGCCTGTTAGCTGTATGTAGTCAGTCATCTTGATCAGCTGTCCTAAAATACCCTGTTTATTTCGTCTCAGTCTGGTGTTCCCAGAAGGCTGAAGTTGAGACAAAGGTTTGCTTGCAGCTAAAGTGACTGGGTAAAGTGATTCCAAGAAATAGAAGTAGGTTATCAAGAAAAGAGAAAAAAAAGTCAATATCAGGTTGTTCTTTCAAGCTGGTCAGTATTATGCAAAACTGGAGTATGATTCCACCAGGACTACATTAGGAGGTGTGTAGAATAAACTTTAGGGCCATTTATTTGAAGAATTGTATAAGGGAACATTAATCCACTAGTTCCTATTTCTTCTCTTTTCAAGGGATGTTAATTCCCTATATTTCCAGTTTGGGTATGAAAGAGTGAGTGTTAGACGAGTGGAAGCTATTAAGAGACGTAGCCTATGCTGTTATGTCCAGGGAAAGTCTCCAAACCTGATAATATTACTGTTCTGTCAATAGGCTTATTTCAGACAAGACTGGGATGGCCAATGAAAGAGACTAACCAACATTCACTGACAAGTCACCTGGTCAGCTGGCTAGCTGATAATTTTCTCTGCAGTAGAGTCTTTCTGGTGGGTATTAACATGAAACCCAGAGATCTGCACCCTTTGTACCCACTCGTGTGGGTTCATCCTCATACTTCTTTCTCAAACTCCCATGTCTTCAATCTTCTACTGTTGTTCCTTCCAAACCTCTGCTAATCAGTCAAGCATCTGCCACTGACCAGGAGTCAACTTTTATCTGTAATTCAGGCTATGTTTTCTTCATCTAAAGCAAATTTCCAAACGCACTATTTACTGTTCTTTCTACTGGGGGGATTCATTTTCACCACTTTCCTTCAGGTACGATGGGATAGTGACACAGTAGCACTGCAGTAGACTGACAGGCCACTGACACTGGTGTCAACATATCAGACCAATTCACTTTTTAACCAAGACTGAGTTTTTCCCTCTCTGTCAGTTGGTCATGTGGAATGCCTCCCCTACTCACATGAAGATATAGGTGTAAAATGAAGGAGAGGCACTGATACAGCAGAAGTGGGTAGCAGAGGAGTCTGGTCACCACTTAGTGCATCTTATTTGTGCTCTTTGGAACTTCTTGGTCCTAATCTTGAAGACACAAATCATCTCATTGCACGATGGGTAGTTACTGCACTCAGCTGACTTTAGGACTTACAAAACCCAGTTCATGTCAGGTCATTTTGGTGAAATAATCAGTTGGTATCTGTATTAGTTCATTTTCACACTGCTGATAAAGACATACCCAAGACTGGGTAATTTATAAAGGAAAGAGGCTTAATTGATTCACAGTTCCACATGGCTGGGGAGGCCTCACAATCATGGTGGAAGGCAATGAGGAACAAATTTATGTCTTACCTGGATGGCAGCAGTCAAAAGAGCTTGTGTAGGGGAATTCCCCTTTATAAAACCATCAGATCCCATGAGACTTATTCACTATCACAAGAACAGCACGGGAAAGACCCACCCCCATGATTCAATTATCTCCCACCAGGTACCTCCCGCAACACTTGGCACTTGTGGGAGCTACAGTTTCAAGATGAGATTTGGGTGGGGACACAGCCAATATCCACCCAACCCCATAATCAGTTTCTCAGAGTAGGAACAAGAATATTCAAGAAGCTGCTTTCAAGTAGTGAGTAGTTCTCTGCTATAGAGAACATTTATTTTTTCAGAAATGTAGAGGTCTGTACTGTGACTCTTCTACTGGAACTTGCTAAAGATTCCAAACACAACATTTTCCATCACAGATATTCCTAGCACTGCTATATTTGCTCTATTATGTGACCTAAGCAGCAGGACAGCCTGCAGTCCAACCTGTCCTGCTGCAGTTCTCTCTTGCTCTTGGCCTTATTCAAAATCAACTGTCTTTCAATTCACTCAATAAATAAGTCAGCACAATACTCCCAAAGACAATGCCTCTAATATCCAAAGAGGATTTTATACCTTGTCTCTAAAATCCAAACAGATTCACCAAGGACTGTATGGGTAAAAGTTTCCACAACCTGTTCTTCACTTGGAAGGAATTTCCTGACAAATTCCTAAAAACTTCACTGATGTGACAGACCCTGAATCCAGGTGGCACACATCTGTCTTATTAGGCCATTCAGAGCATACGTCCATTCCTCAACACCAGGTATGATTAGTGTGGTATTAATATAGTGAATAAGTACAGTGTTCTGATGTCCACCAATATGAAAAAGGTGTTTTTAAGCTACATTCTGAGGGCGAACAGGAGAGTTAACAACCTTGAAGGTGGACAGTGAATACATGTTACTATTGCTCCTATATAAAAACAAAGTACCTTTGAGCCCCATTATGAATAAGGATTAAAAAGAACACTTTTGCCATATCTAACCTATGGACCAATTGCCAGAAAATGAGTAACATTATGATGTATTTTCCTTGTGATACTGTTTCAAATATATTAGGGATCAGAGGAGGTTGTAATTTTAGGATTTTCATTTGGCCCTTCTTAGCATAATGGCTCTTAATGCAGAGGACAGGGAACAAATATCAATTTCTCCAAACTACAAAGTATATCCTTTCCAAGTATCCAGTGGGGGCCAGAGAAATAGTTCCCAGGTGGATTCACAGGTCAGTTGGCCCAATGTGAAATCAACTTGAGCGAATCTCCATTTATCATTTGACCTCCACATTCCTTCACTCTGGACAGGGGACCAGTATGGTCTTTGGAGTCTCCTAGTATACATATCAGCTGAAAACTTTTTCTCCAGTGTTTAGTTAATTTGGCACATGACCACAGGTCTATTCAGGGAAGATTGGGAGATTATTTTTCATGTATAGTTGTAGCAATATGCCATGTTTTCCACTCAAGGGGACCCAATCTCCACTTCTGTCAAGACTGAGTTGAAAACTAGCTCATGTCTAAAACTGATGAAGGGCCCTGATTTTCCATTGTAGCAGCTGATGTCACCCTTCACTTTGCCAGCTCTCAATTTTTGCTGGTTAAGCCAGTCAAATTACACCCTACTTGATTGCCCATCGATGTAACCCCTAAGAATACAACAGGCTATTATCTATCACCACAGGTTCCTGCTGTTCAAGTCATTCATCTGCCACTTTGGTCTTGCTGGCATTAATAATATTATATCCACCTTGCCTCTGTTGGTTAACCATCACAACCTGACCTCTGAATTTTCAATCATTATTCCTACAAATACCAAGGAACCCAACATTATGACACCACATGTTACTCTTAATTCTAGCATGTAGAGGATAGCTACCACCTAGTTTCTCAAAGAAACATTCCCTTAACATTACATTACTTATTAACTTACTGAATTAGTGAAGTAAATCTTTTTTATCTTCTCAAGGAACCCAAGTGATGGGAATTCTGATCTCATGTAATAAATCCTTGTTATGATTAACATGTCCCTGAGACTTCTGACTCCTCCTCAACAGTTTGCCAAGGCATCTCCTGTATTTATTCTTTTTTATTCATTCTGCTCCATTTATTTTTATTATACTTTAAGTTCTAGGGTACATGTGCACACCATGCAGGTTAGTTACATATGTATACATATGCCACATTGGTGTGCTGCACCCATTAAATCACCATTGACATTGTATGCTAATACAAAATTTAGCATAAATTTTACCATTCATCTTTGTTTTGTGCAATGACAGTTTTTTTTCTTTTTTTTATTATACTTTAAGTTGTAGGGTACATATGCACAATATGCAGGTTTGTTACATATATATACATGTGCCATGTTGGTGTGCTGCACCCATTAACTCGTCATTTACATTAGGTATATCTCCTATTGCTATCTCTCCCCCCTTCCCCCACCCCACGACAGGCCCCAGAATGTGATGTTCCCCTTCCTGTGTCCAAGTGTTCTCTTTGTTCAATTCCCACCTATGAGTGAGAACATGCGGTGTTTGGCTTTTTGTCCCTGTGATAGTTTGCTGAGAATGATGATTTCCAGCTTCATCCATGTCCCTACAAAGGACATGAACTCATCATTTTTTATGGCTGCATAGTATTCCATGGTGTATATGTGCCACATTTTCTTAATCCAGTCTATCATTGATAGACATTTGGGTTGGTTCCAAGTCTTTGCTACTGTGAATAGTGCCACAATAAACATACGTGTGCATGTGTCTTTATAGCAGCATGATTTATAATCCTTTGGGTATATACCCAGCAACGGGATAGCTGGGTCAAATGGTATTTCTAGTTCTAGATCCTTGAGAAATTGCCACACTGTCTTCCACAATGGTTGAACCAGTTTACAGTCCCACCAACAGTGTAAAAGTGTTCCTATTTCTCCACATCCTCTCCAGCACCTGTTGTTTCCTGATTTTTCAATGATCGCCATTCTAACTGGTGTGTGATGGTATCTCATTGTGGTTTTGACATGCATTTCTCTGATGGCCAGTGATGGTGAGCATTTTTTCATGTGTTTTTTGGCTGCATAAATGTCTTCTTTTGAGAAGTGTCTGTTCATATCCTTCACCCACTTTGTGATGGGGTTGCTTGTTTTTTTTCTTGTAAATTTGTTTGAGTTCCTTGTAGATTCTGGATATTAGCCCTTTGTCAGATGAGTAGATTGCAAAAATTTTCTCCCATTCTGTAGGTTGCCTCTTCACTCTGATGGTAATTTCTTTTGCTGTGCAGAAGCTCTTTAGTTTAATCAGATTCCATTTGTCAATTTTGGCTTTTGTTGCCATTGCTTTTGGTGTTTTAGACATGAAGTCCTTGCCCATGCCTATGTCCTGAATGGTATTGCCTAGGTTTTCTTCTAGGGTTTTTATGGTTTTAGGTCTAACATTTAAGTCTTTAATCCATCTTGAAATAATTTTTGTATAAGGTGTAAGGAAGGGATCCAGTTTCAGCTTTCTACATATGGCTAGCCAGTTTTCCCAGCACCATTTATTAAATAGGGAATCCTTTTCCCATTGCTTGTTTTTCTCAGATTTGTCAAAGATCAGATAGTTGTAGATGTGTGGTATTATTTCTGAGGGCTCTGTTCTGTTCCATTGGTCTATATCTCTGTTTTGGTACCAGTACCATGCTGTTTTGGTTACTGTAGCCTTGTAGTACAGTTTGAAGTCAGGTAGCGTGATGCCTCCAGCTTTGTTCTTTTGGCTTAGGATTGTCTTTGCAATGTGGGCTCTTTTTTGATTCCATATGAACTTTAAAGTAGTTTTTTCCAATTCTGTGAGGAAAGTCATTGGTAGCTTGATGGAGATGGCATTGAATCTATAAATTACCTTGGGCAGTATGGCCATTTTCACGATATTGATTCTTCCTACCCATGAGCATGGAATGTTCTTCCATTTGTTTGTGTCCTCTTTTATTTCGTTGAGCAGTGGTTTGTAGTTCTCCTTGAAGAGGTCCTTCACATCCCTTGTAAGTTGGATTCCTAGGTATTTTATTCTCTTTGAAGCAACTGTGAATGGAAGTTCACTCATGATTTGGCTCTCTGTTGTCTGTTATTGGTGTTTAAGAATGCTTGTGATTTTTGCACATTGATTTTGTATCCTGAAACTTTGCTGAAGTTGCTTGTCAGCTTAAGGAGATTTGGGGCTGAGATGATGGGGTTTTCTAAATATACAATCATGTCATCTGCAAACAGGGACAATTTGACTTCCTCTTTTCCTAATTGAATACCTTTTATTTCTTTCTCCTGCCTGATTGCCCTGGCCAGAACTTCCAATACTATGTTGAATAGGAGTGGTGACAGAGGTCATCCCTGTCTTGTGCCAGTTTTCAAAGGGAACGCTTCCAGTTTTTGCCCATTCAGTATGTTATTGGCTGTGGGTTTGTCATAAATAGCTCTTATTATTTTGAGATACGTCCCATCAATACCTAATTTATTGAGAGTTTTTAGCATGAAGGGCTGTTGAATTTTGTCAAAGGCCTTTTCTGCATCTATTGAGATAATCACATGGTTTTTTTCTTTGGTTCTCTTTATATGCTGGATTACATTTATTGATTTGCATATGTTGAACCAGCCTTGCATCCCAGGGATGAAGCCCACTTGATCATGGTGGACAAGCTTTTTGTTGTGCTGCTGGATTCGGTTTGCCAGTATTTTATTGAGGATTTTTGCATTGATGTTCATCAGGGATATTGGTCTAAAATTCCCTTTTTTTTTGTTGTGTCTCTGCCAGGCTTTGGTATCAGGATGATGCCAGCCTCATAAAATGAGTTAGGGAGGATTCCCTCTTTTTCTATTGATTGGAATAGTTTCAGAAGGATTGGTAACAGCTCCTCCTTGTACCTCTGGTAGAATTCGGCTGTGAATCCATCTGGTCCTGGACCTTTTTTGGTTGGTAGGCTATTAATTACTGCCTCAATTTCAGAGCCTGTTGTTGGTCTATTTAGGGATTCAACTTCTTCCTGGTTCAGTCTTGGGCGGGTGTATGTGTCCAGGAATTTATCCATTCCTTCTAGATTTTCTAGTTTATTTTCATTATTTCCTGTATCTATTATTTATTTCATTTTCTTGTTCATTACTTTTATTTATTTTATTTTGTAGAGATGGGGGTCTCAGTATTCCACCTAGGCTGCTCTCAAACTCCTGGCCTCAAGTGATCTTCCTGCTGCTACCTCCCAAAATGCTAGGATTACAAGCTCTACTTAATTTTCTTCAAGATAGAAGCATGTCCATGCATCAAGGATCCAATGAGCAGCATGAAGATCTCTTGCCAGGACTTCAAAACCTGAGTCATGGGAAAAATACTCCCATTACAATATCCATCCAATCCACCACCCTCAAGTTCCACTCAACCATGTGTTTTTGAAACTCCTGCTGGTATGTGCTTGTAGTATGTGGATGTATATTCTATTTCCTCCCGGAACAGGGACAATATTTCTCCATTTGGGCTATGCTGAGATCTGACTCTGGTTAAAGGTCTGGAGGCAATGAGGAAAGGCAGTGCTAGAGCTTGAGGAAGCCATATCAATCTATGAGGCACCTGCCCCAGTTGTGGTCTTTCCAGGTCCTCCAATTGAAAAAAGCCTAGTTTAATTCAAGGTTCAGAAGAATCTGTGGCTTAAGATTTTCCAGCATATTGAACTCATCAAATGTCCCTGTGCCAGTTCTGAAAATCCCACTCTTTATCTATTAGGGTTCTGCATTTAACACAGTGCTGTGAAGGCTGTGCATTGTCTTCTTTGTCATTCTGTTAACCTTACAATTAAATTCTGGGTCTGGCTTTTATCAGTATTTGTTCTATGGCTATATGAGATAAGAAGCCTTTCAAACAGGAGCATACAGACATACAGACCCCCTTACTTTAATAGCACACCTTGAAATGATAGTTGGTCAGCCTGTCTGTCATTTTCTTTCTTTTCTAGACTCCTAAAGCAGATAACAAAAGGCAGCATCCTCCACAATTTTTTTTTTTTTTTTTTTGAGACGGAGTCTCACTCTATTGCCAGACTGGAGTGCAGTGGCACAATCTCGGCTCACTGCAACCTCCGCCTCCTGAGTTCAAGCAATTCTCCTGCCTCAGCCTCCCAAGTAGCTGGGACTACAGGCACCCGCCACCATGCCCAGCTAATTTTTTGTATTTTTAGTACAGACGGGGTTCACCATATTAGCCAGGATGGTCTCCATCTCCTGACCTCATGATCTGCCCACCTTGGCCTCCTAAAGTGCTGGGATTACAGGCATGAGCCACCGTGCCCAGCCCACACTCTTTACAATTATCACAGCCCTTACATTTTTCAAGTGCCATTGCTACTGCATAAGCCTTCACTCACATTTTATTTTTATCTGCCAATGAGAGTCTTAGTACTTGTAATGCTACTGCATGCCAGGAGTTATCCCACTCCACCTTTTCTCATCAATGATAGTTCCAGAATTTCATCCTGATGTCTGTTTTTTAGGGCCACTTGCAGTCCTAACTCTCTCGCTTAGGTTCCTCTTCCACCCAGAAAGCAGTGTCTGGGACCCTTATCTTCTTCAGTAAGCAGACCTGAGACACAGCCTTTTAAGCAGGTGGCTGCATACAACTAGGGAGATGGGAAGGAGATGGGAAGTTTGAAAGAAGAAGCCAATAAAAGCCCTTTCATCGGTAGGGTCACTGTTGTGGGCAATTGGGGTTTGCTCCTGTTCAGACGTTCTGAACAGCTATGTAGAAAGTTCTTCAGGATTTCTCCCTCCCCACTGTGAAGAGATGAAAGAGGGGAGCATGTCCTTACTAGCTCCCAACCCTAATTGGTCAAAGCCTGCCCCCATACACATATACATGTGAAAACTTGCCAAGTGGGTATGTGCTGGCATCCTACATTTGGCATCAGAGATGCCTGCAGATGAAAGCAAAAGATACATAGTTCAGCTAAGGCAAGACATATTCAAGTTATGCCAACTGAAAGCTGGTTGGCGCAGTGATAACTGGAGAAAAAGGTGGGCCAAGCCAATGTCAGGCAGGATGCAGGGCAGGGGTAATACCTTTATTTAAACTTTAAAAACATATTTATTTTGTACTTTGTATCTGATAATACCAACATCCACAGTTCTTGCTGTCAAATTCAGCATTTTGCTTTGCTAACTTGCTTCCATGGTAGTTGTGACATCCTGTGTTCAGCAATTTTAAATTGTAAGTTCATGTTTCTTGAAACTGTGAGATAAATTTAAGACCTGTGTTTAAAAAGTGTCCCTCCTGAGAAGTTATCAGTTCTCCTCTAACAAATTTCTGTGGACATTATCAACCAGAGTCTACAATAAACTAAAATTTTTGCTTGTGTTTTATTGGACATGTAAATTGTGTGGCTTTCAGTTCCATTCCTATCGTGTAAGCTTGGCATTTTTTTTTTTCTTTGCTGAGAGGCAAGTTAAGATAGATAAGTATTATTACCAGCTCCTATTATGGGCAGATTGTTTTCTAGTTGCCCACTATAAACGTCACTTTGGGAATGCCAACTTTTAGGAACTCTTCATTTTGTCTTCCCTCCCTCTTTCACTGACATTTTGCCTCCTGACCCTATAACAGGTTGGCCCCTTAGCCCAGCCTCTAAAATGCTGAGGAATGGCTGACTCCCTTAAGGTCAAAACAGGCTCTACTACTCAATTACCTCTCCAGATTCATGCTTTTTCACAATATCTGTACCAATTATTTCTTTGACTTTGTTAATACCTCAGTTATATTTTAAAAATATTTAAAAAGTATTTTCAGTGAGTTTTCTCTGAATATATAATGTACCATATTGCCAAAATACATGTCTCTAGAACTTGAACTCCTTCATATGAATATCTCATACAGAGATTTAAAACTTCATGTCTAAAACTACACTCATCCCTTTGCTCAACAAACCTGCTCCACTACCTATATTATCTTCATCAATGTTAACCCCACCTACTTAGTCACACATGAATTTTAGAAGCTATTATATTGCTTTCTTTCCATCATACTACCACATTAATTTTTACCACTTACATATCTTGAGCTTCCCACACTCTACTTTACACTAGCATGCCACTGCTCTTTTAATTCAGCTTCCTTAATATTTATCTCCTGGACAATTAACATAATCTAATAAACAGCCACCATATTTTCATTTACTTTCTAAACTGTTCTCCAGGTTGTTGTCATAGTGATATTTCTAGCACTTAATCTAGCCATGACACACACTTGTAATATCTTCATCCACAGTCTTCCTACAGAATACTGTCCACACAACTTAAAATGATCTATGAAGTAATTTCTCACATAGCTTCTGGACTTGTATACCACTACTTTTTGGTCTCTGCTCTTCACTGTGCCTGCAATGCCCTTCTCACACCCCTTTATATACCTTGAGTTCTGTCAATCATCCTTTCAGTCCTCCCTCTACGGTTTTAATAAGTATCCCTTTCTCCGGGCTCTCATGACAGTCTTGGCATAGCTCTATTTTAGTGCTTTTCAGCATGTGGTGAAAATTTAGTCATTTGCCTGCCTCCACCACTAGCCTACAAGTGCATTTATATTTTGTACCCCTAGCACGCAGCAGAAGCAGTGGATTCTGGTATATTCAATTAATATTTGTTAAATAAATACACAAATGATTGAATGAATAGGCTTTATATTTCCTCTGAGATCTAATGCTGAACAAGGTTGGAGGTGGTTACTGTTGAAAAGGAAAAAATAAATATTACATGTTTATCTAAAACAAAAGATAAATGAAAAACACTAAAAGTATATCTTTATATCCCGTACATTTCATTTTTATTTAATTTTGTTTCCTACATATTTTCAGTCTTTCATTTAATTTAATCGTGTTAGATTTTTATTTTAAAAAGACTATCAGATGATAGCATTTGTTTCTTGAAAATTATTATCTAGTGTATTTTTTCCAGAAATTACAATTTATACTACCTAATAGAAACACTCTTTGAGTAGAATATTTTCACATTAATGTAAGTATAAATTGTTTTACATGAAACAGTGGCAAGCAATAAAATTCTAGTGTTACTTTAATGTATCACAACATTAAATTTTTCTCTCTGATTTCACAATGCAACTTACAATTATATAAAAAGGAATATTTAAAATGATTTTTGTATTAAAATAATGTCAAGGGTTTTTATTTTATAATAAGGATAATGAGATTAAGCAATAACAAAAATATATGAGATACTAAACCTGGTGTGTAGGTTCAGAAGAATAAAGAAGATAAAGGGAGGTGGAATTCACACACTGTAGTACATAGCATTACTACAGAAATAAACAGAAGATAAAGATACCAGTGGATATAAAGTAAACGATGGGAATAAGCTCACCACATGACCTTAATGGATATAATTAAATCTCTCACAAAGGTTGTTGCTTTATATGTAAAATCTATTGTAAATATAGGTAAGATATAATGCATACACACATATATACACATATGTATTTAATATGCCAGTCAACATTATGAAACACATTCTTTCACAATATAGTACTGCTAAAGCTTCACTAAGGAATGCATGTAGGATAAGACCCCTCCCACCTTAGCAGTTCCTATCTTCCTTTTGTTGCTCTTTTTGTTTTCCAAAGCATTTTTATTACTCTTCCAACATACGATACAATTTACTTGTGTGCTTTCATTATTACTCACTCCTCCATGTAGAATTTATGTGCCAAGAGCTTACAAAGTAAATGTTCAATTAGTATTTGTTGAATAAATGCATATTGTCATTTCACTCAGTTAGTCTTGGATCTATGCTTACTAGGTGCCTATATTACTCTCCTGCCTTAACATTGCCTATCATTCTATTAAATTTAGAACGGTAAAACAAATTTTGTATGTAAAAGTAAAATATAAAATATATTGTACATATACATATATACGCAATTACTTATGTATAAAATATATATAATTTTATAAATATATTAGGTATTACCAAATATTTAATTGTTTTCTAATTACCTAGAGTGAAATGAACAAAATTCATCCCTCATATTTTTAAATAAAAAGAAGTAATGACTATAGTAAAAGCAGATGACTTGGCCAGGTATTTGCAGAATTCTAATGAAATCACCACTTACTTTGTATGTACTTAATTGTCAGTTTTAAAAGAGCAGGATGAAAGGCCTCACACAACACCCTCCATTTAGGAAACTTATTGAAATTGATGTCCATTTACTTGGAGGAATTACATTAACTATATTATAAAAGGGATCACAGAATTATGTTAAGAATTATTTCCAACTGCTTACTCTTAATTGATTCTATATTAGAAATGGAAAATAAAGAGGACAGAAACACCATCCAACATTTTACCAATTAGACTATACTATCCAAGAGAAAATTAAAAACACTCATTTCTTTTATGTTTCTTATCCATTGTAAGTAGTATTAGCATTCAGACATTCAAAACCAGCAGTCAAATAATTCTTTATATTTAATATGAGACATAGAGCTTTTTGAAAGCTCTTATGACAAATCAAAAATACCAACTAAATTCTCGCCAACAAAATATTAATTTTTAAATGTTTGGGAAAATATTCCCCACCTGCTTTTCTAAAAGTGCTACTACCTCATGGAAAATTAGCATTTTGTAAGGTGTTAGCCTTTAAACGTATATATTTTGATCAAATAATTCAGAAAATTTCAGATGAAGCATATTTAAATAAATCAATTACAGAATTTTTCACATGTTATCACAAATTTACTTGCTGTAATTGCCCTGACTACACACACAGAGACACAAAGCACACACACACACAAACGCTCATGTGTGCGCACATGCCAGGATCACTTATCTTAAGGTACACTTGTGTTTCAAGAACTGCAGCATCAGAATAAACATCATCAAAATCACACATTGTTTCATTGTTATAATTTCTATGGAACTCTGGCTTAAGCCAAGGAGAGTTTTTTAGGATGACAAATATTAAAGTGCAGTAGTTTGCACAGTGTCTTATCATTATTTTATTTGAGAACTAGACTAAAATAATGGAATTTGAATTATAGTAGAAAAAATTTTAAGTGGTTATAATGAAAAATTACTGAAAGTCATTGTTTACAATTGGTATCAACAGGGCTTATATAGATTTTTTTAAATAGGACTTTTAAAACTTTTGTTTCAGGGGTACATGTGCAGGTTGGTTCTATAGATAAACCGCAGGGGTTTACTCTACACACTATTTTGTCACACAGACAAAAAACATAGTACCCAATTGATAGTTTTTTGAGCCTCACCCTCCTCCTACCCTCCATCCTCAAGTAGGACCTGGTGTCTACTGTTTGCTTCTTTGTGTCCATGTGTACTCAGTGTTTAGCTCCCACATATAAGGGAGAACATGAGGTGTTTGATCTTCTGTTCCTGCATTAGTTCACTTAGGATAATGGTCCCCAGCTTCATCCATGTTACAGCAAAGGATATTATTTCATTCTTTTTTATGTCTGTGTAGTATTCCATGGCATATATGTACCACATTTCCTTTACCTGTTCTACCATTGTTGGGCTTCTAGGTTGATCTGCTATTGTGAATAGTGCTGTGATGAACATACTCATGCATGTGTCTTTATCATAGAATGATTTATATTCCTTTGAGTATATACCCAGTAGTGGGATTGCTGGGCTGAATGAGTTGTTTTAAGTTCTTTGGGAAATTTCCAAACTGCTTCCTATTCTACAGTGGCTTAACTAATTTATATTTCCACCAGAAGTGTATAAGTATTCCTTTTTCTCTGCAGCTTCATCAACATCTATTTTTTGACTTTTTAATACCGGCTATTCTGATTGGTATGAGATGATATCTCATTGTAGTTTTGATTTGCATTTCTCTAATGATTAGTGACACTAAACATTGCTTCATATGCATGTTGGCCACATTTATGTCTTCTTTCAAGAAATGTCTGTTCGTGTTCTTTACCCACTTTTTAATGGGGTTGTTTATTTTTTGCTTGTTAATTCAAGTTCCCTATAGATTCTGGATATTGGTCCTTTGTCAGATGCATAGTTTGTAAATATTTTTTCACATTCTGTAGGCTGTATATTTACTCTGTTGATAGTTTCTTTTGCTGAGCAAGAAACCCTTTAGTTTAATTAGGTCCAATTTGTTAATTTTTGTTTTTGTTGCAATTGCTTTTGGTGTCTTCATTGTAAAATCTTTGCCAGGGCCTACGGCTAGAATGGTTTTTCATAGCTTTTCTTCAGAGGTTTGTTTTAGGTTTTACATTTAAGTAAACCTAGTTTTAGGTTTTACATTTAAGTCTTTAATCTTCAATCTTGAGTTGATTTTTGTATATGGTAAAAGGAAGAGGTCCAGTTTAAATCTGCATATGGCTACTTATCCCAGCACCATTTACTGAATAGGGAGTCCTTTCCGCTTTGCTTATTTTCATCAACTTTGTTGAAGGCCAAATGGTTGTAGTGTGTGGCTTTATTTCTGAGTTCTCTCTTCTCTTCCACTAGTCTGTGTGTTTATTTTTATATTGGTACCATGCTGTTTTGGTTACTGAAGCCTTGTAGTATATTAATAGTTTGAAGTCAGGCAATGTGATGCCTCCAGCTTTGTTCTTTTTGCTTAGGTTTGCTTTGGCTATTCAGGCTCTAAAATAAGACTTTGAAGATGTAAGTGATGATAATACTGACTTTTGGCTATTTTTCTTAGAGAAAAGGGAAATTTTCTACGTGGATGGATGACACACTTATATATGTGGCTAAGGGGCTTGTACAAGAAAGCTGTTTTCAGCAATGTGTATAACAATAAAAAAATTGGAAACTTTATGTTTTAATCACCATAAAAATGGAGATACACATGACCAAATTTTAACAAAATGGAATATTATAGAGCATAGCTACATTTTTCACCATTAAGAAAGCTCACATATAAAATGAGCAAAAAATTGTTTTATATTTGCTATTGTGAATAGTGCTGTGATGAACATACTCATGCATGTGTTTCATTCACCATATATGAATATACATAATGATTTTATTATAGTTTTAAAGCATGCAAAATAATGCCATATATATTTTGCATGCTTCAAAAATATATATGCAATATATAATGGATATATAATATACATTATTAATTGTAAAAACATATAAACACCAAATTCGGGATGATGGATACCTGTTGGAAGGGAGGGAAATGCAATTAGGGAAGAATAAACCAAGGGCCTCAATTATATTTGTAATATTTTATTTCCTATGTTGTGTGGTAGTTAATGCGGTGGTTAATGAACTCAGATGTTCATTAAATAAATATATAATCATCTTTTTATTTTGTCTGAAATATGTAAAATTTAATAAAATACAAAGGCTGCTTGGTGATGCTTGTCTTAGGGAAGAGGAATACAATGAAAAATCTTTCAATGATATGGCATATCCAATATTTTGATGAAATTAAAACAATTGATTTTCATTAAGCTAACAATTCCTTTTTTAACAACAAAAAATAATATTTCATTCTTCACTTATCATGTCCCCTCAGTTCTCTCTGCTTGGGCTTTCATTTCCACTACTATATTGAAACTATCTCTATCAAGGTCATTAACTTATGTAAATTTATGGTCAGTTCTTTGCTTTTACATGAGTTAACATTCCAACAGCATTTAAGACACTCATGTCTTTGAAACATTTTGAACCCTGTCTTCTCTGTAATTCAACGAGTATTCATCTTGCCACAATGGCCAATCCTTCTTCTTTACTGGTTCCCCATGTTCTAAACTGGTCTGGAGTTCACACGTGACCTCCATTTGGCCAAATTCAATAGTTAATTCGGTTCTAATCTGTAATAGTTAATTTTATGTGTCAACTTGTCTGGGCAATGATGCAATGTCCCAATACATGGTTAAGTATTATTTTGGGGTGTTTCTGCTGGAAGAAATTAGCATTTGAATCTCCTAATTACATAAAACAATTTGCTGTCCCCCAGTGTGGATAGGCATCGGTGAATTCATTGAGTGCCTACATATTTTTTTAAATGGCAAAGAAAGGAAGAATTCTTTCTCTCTGCTTTACTGCTTGAGTTGAGACACTGATCTTCTGTCCGTTGACTGGGACTCACACTAATGGCCTTCAGAATCAGCCTAGAACTACGTCTCCAGTTTTTCTAGGTCTCCAGTTTGCATATAATACAGCATGATACTTCTCAGCCTCCATAATCTCATGAGCCAATTTCTTATAAGTCTCTTTATATATGTCTATGTCTACATCTATCTATACCTATATCTATATCTATATATTTTGATTCCATTTCTCTAGAGAAACCTTACTAATAACTTTATTTGATTGATCAGTAACACTTACCATAGTGAATCACTACCTTCTCCTCAAGGTAATTTTTCACTTGGCTTTCAAGATAACATACATTTATGGTTTTTCCTCCTGCCTTATTGCCAGGTTCTTCTTATCATTCCACACTGGCTTCTCTTCATCTCCCTAATATCCCGGACTATGCGCTCATTTCTTTATACTCCCTCTCGAGGTGTCCTAACCAATCTCATGGTTGTATATGCCATCTGTAAGCTGATGGCTCTATACTCTATGCTGATGATTCTCAAATCTACATCTCCAATTGTGACTTCCCAAAGAATAATATATACTATTACCTATATGACATTTCCACTTTGACATCTAGCAACCCTGTTCAATTAATGGGACATACACTGAATATTTTACTTCAGTGACCAAAATGGAATTGTCTCCCTCAACCTCTGTACAGCTTTTCCCAGATGTCATCCCTATCTCCACATATGGGGCCACCATCTGCCCATACCTCAAGCCAGCCATTTGTAGGCATCTTTGATTCCCCTTTTCTCTTTCAAACTTCACTTCTCATTTAACGGCAAGTCCTTTCAGTTCTGCTTCCAAAAAATATTCTGAATCTGACTGCTTTTTACCAACTGTACTACCTCAGCTCCAATTCAAGTTGCCAAAATTATCCCTTGAATAACTGAGAGAGACAGCATTGTAAAAGTCTCTCACTTTTCACTCTTCAATTTTGCACAGAATGCCAGTGTTAACTCTCTAAATCATGAACCAAATCACATCTCTCCTGTATTTAACATCATCTAATAAATCCTTATTATATTTAGAATAAAATCACAACGCTTTACCATGACCTTAGGCCTTACATGATCTGGTTCCTAACTCACCACATAGTTCTACACTTGTATTACTCCCTTCTCATGCTGCTAAAAGGACATACCTGAGACTGGATAATTTATGAAAGAAAGAGGTTTCATTGACTCAGTTCCACAGGGCTGGGGAGGCCTCAGGAAACTTACGATCATGGCAGAAGCAGAAGCAAACATGTCCTTATTCACAAGGTGGCAAGAGAGAGAAGAATGAGAAGAATAAAGGGGGAAGCCCCTTATAAAACCATCAGATCTCGTGAGGGCTTATTCATCATCACAAGAATAACATGGGGGAAACCACCCCTATGATTCAATTACCTCCCACCAGATCCCTCCCACAACACGTGGGGATTATGGGAACTACAAAGCAGGATGAGATTTGGGTGGGGACACAGCCAAACCATATCAACACTCAACCCACAAGAGCTTTTTTTCTGTCCTTTTAAACCTCTAAGCTTGTTTCCTTCTCAGTCCCTTTACCCTACTCCTCCTCAGGTCCATCCTATTCTCTCACTCAGATCTTTACGTGGCTGTCTTCTTTCACCAGTCAAATTTCATTTTCAAGGTCTCCTCCTCAGAATAGTCTACTATGAGCCCCCAACTACAGAATCCCCCATTGCTTTACATCACATTAACATCTTTTATTTTCAGATGCAATAGATTTTCATCTGAAATTATCTTTTTTTGTACATTCTTTGCTTATTTCTTACACTAGAATATAATCTCTTTGAGAGGAAAGAGTTTTCAGTTTCATTTGCCAATGAATCTTCATTACCTAGAAAAGTGCATGGCACAAAACAGATGCTTAACACATATTTGTTTTTTCTTTTCCAAATTTTAAGATTCACGGGGTACATGTGCAGGTTTGTTATGTGTGTGTGATGCTGAGGTGGCTCAACAAATATTTGTTGACTGACTGACTGAACATTCTCACAAGTTACCAGGTGAGTAAATCATTTAATTTCATTTACTTTTGGGGTATTTTCTTTACTTTTAGTAGTCATGTGTTGGTCCTAGGGGCTTAACAGATATTAACAGAGTCTTTCAGCCTTCAGTATATACTGGCATGGTAGCCAGACTACGAGATGGTCTCTAATGATTCTTATCTTCTGCAATTTATACCTTTGTAGAATACTCTCCCACATTGTATCAGAGATGGTCTATGTGACCAACATAACATGGCAGAATTGACATTGTATGACCTCTAAGGCAAATCACAAAAGCCACTTTCACCTTGAATCACTCATTCTGTGGAAAGCCAGCCATCATGTCATGAAAATCCTTAAGCAGCCTCTATGGAGAGGTCCATGTGTTAAGGAACTGAAGAGCTTCTGGCCAACAGCCAGCAACAATTTATATCCATATGAATAAGCCATCTTAAAAGCAGATCTTCCAGCTCCCATCAAGTCTTCATATGACTGCAACTCTGTACAACATCTTGGCTGCAACTTCATAAGAGACCCAGGGCCAGAACCTCCCAAGGAAGGTCCTCGTTAATTCTTAATTAACAGATATTGTATGAGACAAGTGTTTATTGCTGTTTTATGCAGGTAAGCTTGGAGGTTATTATAATACAGCAATAGGTAACTAATAGGACTGGTCTCCACTGATATTTTCATTTCCAAGTCCCCAAATGTATTTGAAAGTGAGAAATAATATGTGAATAACCACCTTATGCTGCTTCCATGCCTTTTCCCCCTATTTGGCTTACTGCTCCGTCTTAAAATGTTAAGTCACTCTTTCTTGCAATCCCTGTACCTCAGTGAACCTAGGATATCGCAATTAAGAGACAAGAAAAGAGGGTCTTCTGGGTGTCTAATAACTTTGCCTTCAGCTCTGTAGCACAATGCTACTCAGCCATAATTTAAAAGGTTGGCTAGTTTCTTGGGAAGGAAAAAAGAAAAAAAATCATATGTTCAAAAGAATCTGCATATGTAGAATGGAAATAAGAATAGTACTCACTTTATAGATGCTTAGAAAGGAACAAATGAGAGAATACACATAAAGCTGTTAGCATAATGACTGATCCATGGTTAGTGCTAAACAACTATTGGCTATTTTTATTGACTTTTATGTTACCTGGCTCCTTTTTTTATTTGAATAGGCTTTTAATTCACTAAAATAGATTAGTGAAAATAGTATATTATAAACTCCTAACACTACACAATAGCTGATGATTTATATGAGAGAAATGTTTTTTAAAACCTGTTATCATAAATTGAGAAGAGACTTTTCAATACATACATATTCAGAGAAAAAAAATTAGACTGAAAATTAACCAAGGGCTATGTTATCTAAATTATAATAAGAGATTGTCATCTTAACATATTGAAAACTAGAGAGGGATGAGCAAGAGACTAAAAATGTAGTAAGAAAGTAAAAGCAGCAAGAGATTCACTTGAATGTCATTATCTTATTGCCTTTTGGAACTAAAAATGTATTGTTTCTCATATAAAGCAAAGCACTGAAAACTATTTGGCAGCAAGGTTATTATTTCACATATAATTACATCTCGTACGGAGGTACACTGGCAGACATGCGGTGGCTAAATTGTCCATTTTCAACTGGAAAAAAGAAATGCAGTTCTTTTTTCACTTACATTAGCCAAGAAGACAGCCGCCCACAGGAAGAGATAAAGACTTATTTGACACTAGATCTATAACCAATGATTTTAGTTATCACTTGAAATTAGTGAGAATTTTGAAATAGGCTTAAGAATTTTTGAAGAGCAATTTGGCACCACAGTGTAACAGCAGATGAAAGGCAAAAGTTAAAAAAAATTAAATAAATAAATAAAAAAGAAAGAAAAATGAAGAGAAAATGCGATTTTCATGTTTTGACTGTGTTTAGATTTAGGAGTTTCTAAAATAGGATTTCTCTTAGGCAGATAATCTCTGAAAACACAGATGTACTAATTTACCATTTTTGAAAATAAATTAAGCATTTGATTAAATTATCTTCTATATAAACATATTAGATAAATCTTGAGTCAATGAATATAATAAAACATTATCCAGGGTGCCAACAACTAAGAGGATTATTTATAAAAGTCAGACAACTAAATTCTAACCCTCTCAGCTGCCTATTCTGAATATTTATTAAGTCATCAGAAGAGTTCTGGTAATCACAATTTTAGATGAGTATGGTCTGCAGATATGTATAATATAGATATAATACCAAATGTTTATACACTTGAAAAATTGGAGAAAATGTTACCATCTGAATTCCTCTTAGGGATAACTCATAGCTCTATGAAATAAATACTTATGTTAACCAAGGTATGGAGTGTAATGTTCCTAAGCATATTCAAGTTATAAAAATGTGCCAAATAGGGTGGCTATGGTCAATCAATGTACATTTTAAAATAATTTAGAGTGTAATTGGACTGTTTGTAACTCAAAAGATGAATGCTTGAGGGGGTAGATACCCCATTCTCCACGATGTGCTTATTTCACATTGCATGTCTGTATCAAAACATCCCATGTACCCCATAAATATACACACATAATTTGTAGCCACAAAAATTTTAAAAATAATAATAAAGTACAAATGTGCTTATAAGTGGCTATGTATGCAATATGGAGAAGAGAGGAATTTTTCCCCTTTTGAGGCTGAGAGAAAAGAAAAGAAATAGAGATGATGGGAACAGAGACTGGAACTAAGGAGAGGGGAAGATGGCTCAGTTAGGTCAAACATACAAAATGTTGAGTGTGCATATGTGTGTGTGTGTGCACATGAATTGTTAAAATATTTTATTTTCAAAGATAAGAGAGCATGCAGCAGAAAGGATTTCAAGGACATAAGCCCTCAAGAAGTCTCAGGAATCATGGATAAGGATCAATTTGGGCATTCTCAGGTCCTAGAACTGAGTTTGGGGTAAATTCGCTTTGCTCTTCAACGAACAGAGAGATACTAATCAACTACACTGTGCCTGTTGCTTGGTAAATTGTTCCTTCCTTTACGCTTATGATCTCCCATCATTAAGTAAACAATGTTTGTATTAGTTGGGCTTCCGAACTCACCTTTTTTTAATTCTATGAGTTTTCACTGTATAATTGATGTCATAATTATATAGTAAACCACTGAAAGGAACTTTTAAAATATAAAAGACTTCGGGGAAGAAAATGAAAGCGTAGGCAATAAGCAAGTAAACATAAGAAGGATAAGAGAACACAGAGTGAGCATGTTGAATAAATTCACTCTAATTTTGTGCTTGCTCTCCTATGAGATTACCTTTTCCTCCAAAAATCTTCAAATTCCCAACTGTTCACATTTTCGTGATCACTTTTATTCAGAGTTCTGATTTTTGCTGACCTGTCTGGCTTTTCACAGTTTGCATACACTATTCACAAACCTGGCTGTGAAAGAATCCCTTTTCGGGATTCTGGACAGGTGAGTATATATGTGTAAAGCATATAAGTACAGAAAATTTTACTGAAGGTTTGTGGTAATATGAGCATAAAATTTCAGAACCACACAGCAAATGTCTTACCATAACATATTAATACAACATCCTTGATCACCAAGAATTTTCACCACCTGTTCTTTCATTAGCCATCCTGACCCTTGCTCAGAGGGCCTTTCTCTTCATCCTCTGTACCTTATCATCTACTCTTTGCTCTTTCTCCCTTAAATTAATCTCCGTTTCTTACATGGAGAAGGCTATCTTTTTGTTTTAGAATCTCTCTGTATTAATCCATTCTCACACTGCTATAAAGAACTGCCCATGGCTGGGTGCAGTGGCTCACACCTGTAATCCCAGCACTTTGGGAGGCCCAGGTGGGCAGATCATCTGAGATCAGGAGTTCGAAAGTAGCCTGGCCAACATGGAGAAACCCCATCTCTACTAAAAATACAAAAATTAGCCAGGTGTGGTGGCACGTGCCCGTAATCCCAGCTACTTAGGAGGCTGAGGCAAGGGAATCACTTAAACCCTGGGGGGCGGAGGTTGCAGTGAGCTGAGATCGCGCCGTGGCACTCCAGCCTGGGTGACTGAGTGAGACTCCATCTCAAAACAAAAAACAAAAGACATAAACCCAAAACAAAACAGATAAGAACTGCCTGCGACTGGGTAATTTATAAAGAAAAGAGGTTTAATTGACTCACAGTTCAGCATGACTGGGGAGGCCTCCATTCAAAGTTTAAAATATGTAATATAGCATTTTTATGGTTGATAGCATTTTTTAACTTAGAAGAAAAATATGGTTTATTATATTATAAAAAGCAAACAGAAACGTATACAAATTGCCAGATTTTATCCTTACTCTATTTTTTTATTTTTAGTTATTATGAGTACATAATAGTTGTGTATAATTATTGATGTTTTAATGCCTTTTTCCTGATCTGAGAAATGAAATTAAATGGTAATATGCAATATATCTCTTAGGGGGTTACTTTATATATCAAAATAAATATATATACATATGAAATTATTTTGAAAACTAAGAAGTTTCCTACAAACATTTGGCAGTATTACTAATCGTTTCCTCACTGTAAGGCTGGTACATAGAGTACTTAAGCATTTTGTGAGAAGTTCTGCATGTATATACATACAGAGAGAGAATGAGAAAGGAGAAAAAGAGAGAGAGAGAGAGGTCAGTTGAATCGGGTATACAAATGAATAAATCTGTAAATTATGATGGCGTGCATATTAGGGTAATTCTCATGCCAATCAAATAATATATTTCTTTACTCCTCACCCTGCAAAAGCATCTCTTTAGTATCAGTAGCATTTTACTTCTGAGGTGAAATTTTATCAGCTTAACATATTTTTTCTTTAATTCTCCCTTGTTATGTCTTGCTAGATGCCCGAAAAGGACAAAGCTGGAACACTAAAGGCCCATCATGACATTTATCTAGGTCTCTGGGATAAAAGGAAAGTTGGGGGTGGAGTCCATCTACAATCGATCATGGATGGTGATGTCTTTATTGGCTACTGACCTTGCAATGAGTTGCATGAGTTATAAGAAGGTTCTCTGTTACCCCAATCCCTATTTTCTTGAAGGAGGATATAAATCACTTGAGCCTCATGAATTTCTCATATTTACAAAGTATACTTCCAAATTTTCCACAGAGGATGCAGTGTAACCACTTATTTTTCCAATTTAAAAAAAATAATTTTTCAGCTTGTTCAGATGTCACATAAGGAGGCTGATGATTGAGATGATCTGGCTGAGAGTGACCCAAGGATCCAAGGTGGATGTCAGCACGAAGCCTAGAGAGAAGCAGATAGTTTCCATCATCCTCATTTTGAGGTTGTTTGCATTACTTCTTCTCTAACCTTATGCTCGAAGCAACAATCATGGTAGATTGCCTTATTCTGTTCCATTAAGAACTGAAGCATGTAATAAATCAAATTCCATAGTGACATATCTTGCTTCAGTGGCATGATAAGTTGCTTCTTGGCTAAAATTCACATGAAGAATATCTGGATTTTGTAAATATACTTCTCCACATTCCCTTGAAACGTAAACTTAAAATTTAAGTATTGTATGGTACCTGGAAAAATTAATGAAAAAAAAGAAGAGAGGGGGAGTGCATCCTTCAGAAATATCCAAAGATTTCAGTGGGCAAATACCACAGTATAAATTTTAAATAAATTTTTCTCTATATATAATTACACATATATTCAGCCTTGCTTTTAAAGACTATACTTATTATATGTAGATGTCCAAAACCACTGCACAGTAACACACTACACTCTACCATGTAGAAAAATATAACTTTACCGAGATAGAATTTTTCTTAAAAAAATTCTAGTTTTGTCTCATTAAGTCTAGGAAAAACCTATGCTGACAAAGATGACTTATTAGAGAACTGCTAACCAAATTTTAAAATTTTAAGCTGTAAAAAGGAATCTAGTCACAGACCAACATAACAGTCATATGCTGAAATATACAGTATTAAAATATTTAGACATTAAAGAGATATTTCTCAATATTTACCCTCAATGATTGCTATTTTGACATATCCAGAGGCACAAGAGTGTATAGAATGTAATTTCTGCTCCTAATGGTTCATTCGCCCATGGGCAAGATAAAGACACTTGCAAATGCAACTACGATACAGGGCAGGCTAAGAAGAGTGCATTATGATTGGAATAAACCATGATTTAGTCATTGAGAGCATAGCCTTTTATTTTACTAATAATAAGTTTTCATGATATATAAAACATCTGACCCTGGTTTTAAAGAGGAGTGGTAATTGGATATGCAGAGACTGTGAGACTTGCCAGGTAGTAATGACAGCAGGAACAAACCACAGAGAAAGCAGAAGTAATAGTAATATCTGGCATCTAAGCTATGCTTACTGTATGCTTGGCACCACTATAAGCATTTACATGAGTTCATTCATTTTATTTTCACAAGAGCCCTAGGAGCTGGAACTATTATTTTCATCTCCGTTCAATAAATGAGCAACTGGAGCACGGAGTGTGTAAGTAATTTGCCTAAGTGAGTGAGTATGGAGTTTGGTATTCAAATTCAGTCTGGTTCACATCCAGGCTATTTTCAGCGATCAGCGGACCAATCAGAATTTGAGAAACTAGAGGGATAAAACTAAAAAAACACATATTGGAGGGGATCTCAGACAAAGAGGAGTCACTGATTGTTTCTGAGCTGAGAAATGACTAAAGTCTTCAGAAAGACACCTGATATCAACATGTATATTGGACTTGGAAGATAAGCTTTGTAATCAAACGGGCTGCATAAGAAGCTATTGCAATAATCTAAGACATAGAAATGGGAAGGTCCAATTGTGAAGAAAAAAATGCTAGAATGCATTCCAATCTTTTTTTCTCAATTGAAAATGATATTTACCTCCCTCTACCACTCCTGGATTATGTAGACTATTTAGTCTTACTTTCTTAGTGAGTTAAGTTGCTTTCTCAGAGTAAATTATAAACCTATGGAGATTATTACTTAATTCCATAAAATGAATCATACTACAGCCATGCATGACTAGTGCCCTGAAGGAATTAACACATCTTTGAAGAATTAACTGACCTGTATGCAATAAAATCAAAACTTACTAACACATAAACACTCTGGGCTTTTTTTCCAATATTTTTAGAATGCTCACATTTTTAACATTTCACAAGAACAATTTATTATTGATTGATACCCAGTAAATATGATGTTTTAATGACAATGGATATTATAGTTTTTCTTTACTATAAAAATTAAAGTCCTAATGAGTTCTGTGAAATTCTTACTCTAACATTATGTTTAAAAGGGATTCTTCTCTAAGAAGTTTTTATGTAAATTTTCATTTAATTTTTTTTCTGTACTTTAAAAAGAAAGCAGGATTTCACTTGGTTTGTTTCAGTGCCATCTGTGTTATTAACAAAGAAAAGCTAGTACAAGCTTAAAACAATGCAAGGGAAAAACTATGTAAAATTAAGCTAAAACTGTCAAAATGAGGCTGCTAAATTTCACAGAGATCAAATTCCAGTACACTGAAAATGTTTCTTGGGCCTGCCTAGAATTTCTCACCTCATTAGGCGTGAAAAAACATAAATTGAGCCCTGGTTTGATTTTTGTTTTTCAGAATTTTGTCTATGAAGAGAACAGTTGGGGAAACAAAGCTCTCCATAGTTTTAGGTCTTATATTTGGAGGAGTGAGGAAAATGATTGAAGGCTGCACCCTTTATAAATTCTGGGCACTTGCTCAGTGATTGTTTTTGAATCTTCAAGTCATTCATGAAATAATTAATTCAGTCCCACATTTCCATTTTTCTCTAGAACACAAAATAAGCACTCTCTTTATAAAAGGAAACGAAGAGAGATTGAGAGTCAAAATATCTGGTCAAGTATAATATGCCGAGACCAATTCCAAGGTCCAAAACTCATGTTTTCTGAGTCAAACTATTCAGCTCTAGATACTGCATTTCTTCAAAGTCCCCATCTCTAAATTTCAGGAATACCTGTCTGCTTGCCAGACATCTAGGTGGGATTTAGCTCTACGTGCATATTAATACATTCAATTTATAAAGGTTGAAAACTCTGACTCATTGCCCATCAAATTAAATCACAAATTCAAGATTTTTAAGTACTGAATCTGTACCATGTAATGAGATTTATATTACAAGTCGAAAAAGGAAGTGCACTTAGGATACGGTCCAAAATAAAACTACCTAGCATAAGTGTGAATGTGTACCTCCAAACTGTTTCTTTATTTTCCACACATTTTCCCCCAGTGTCTATAAATGGAACAGCTTTTATTATCCCTTGATCCTGTACCACAAAATCTGACTGTCCTGCAAGGCATGTAAAATTCTACATCATGCCACTAAAATTGGGCATCTTTTTATAATAATGTTTAAGAGCATTCTGTATTCTCTACAGTTTAACTCAAATATTTCTCTTTTCTTACCAGAAAAGTAGAGACCACTGAACACACACCCACATTTGATACATAAAACCATCATACATTTCCATGGCAACTTGTACTTTTTACTGCTAAAAGTGAAACATAGTTCAAAAGTGAGTAATACAAAAGGTCATTTCATCTTCCAATATCCAAAATATTTTTACACTCTACTTCCTACACACTCTAACCCTCAAAAGCAAAGGACTTGGAACATTGGAATAATAAAGAGTAATTATAATAGAGTTTAATGAAGTTTGAAACTATGGTATTTTATATTAGCGAATGTGTTATAATTAACTCTGGTAAATGATACCATAATGAATATTTTAGCCTTCATGATTCCAGGCAAAAACCTGGAGGGAGAAATCATTGTAATCATACTATCTTTTATAAAATAAAGGGGAGGAATAAATCTCTGTTATTACATTAAAACACAGTTTCTAATGTATTTTGTTGGGGGTAAGGGGAACCTGCTGAGGGGCTATCTCAGTAACAGTGTTTAGAGAGAAATGGTAACTTCCAGCCAATGAGGTTAATGCTGATAGATAATGTCCTATGGATATTTTAGAAGACAGTATTGATCCATTGTCTGCTTACTTAACTAGAGGATAATAGGCTGGTTTCACTGGGAGGTTGAAATACTTAGAATCTGTATCTTTTTTCTAAATAAAAGGAATCAACTTTTATTAACTGGAGAACAGAATAAGAGGAAAAAGGATGGAGGATGACGCACGTTTATTGCCACCCTGGCAACAGACAATGAGAATTGAAAACTTACTACATTATTGATAACACTAGAATCTGCAAAAGAGTACAAAAGACATCTTGTCCTCTCTGAGCTTATACTATGCATAAAGAAGTACAAAACCAAGACTATAGAATACTTATGAGGTATCTCATCCGCGTGAATGGGAGCCTTCTCCCAATGTCAGTTAAGCAAGTGTTCCTATCTCCTTTAGGATTCTCGGATGGAAGGGGTTTACAAAACCTGGGATCTTAGTGAACAGGGCAAGTTAAGAACTGTAACATTTAATTTTCATTTCACAGGTCTAATAGAAAAATGCAATGTTGAGACCAGAAACTAGAAACACATCATGTCTTTTTTTTTTGCTTGCTCTAAAACTATGTGTGTGTGTGTGTGTGTGCGTGTGTGTGTGTGTTGAATACACGCTTTATCAGAAATATTCATCTTCTTCTTGATATTTTGAAGCTCTTCCTCCACAAGATATTTTTGTGCAAGGGAAATTGTCATTGAAACATACAATGTAGTACTTTTCTGTTTAGGCAAGTAGAGTTTAAGTACATTTTCTTAATGCATCTCAGTAAATGTCGACTGACAAAATACCACAAGTAAGGACACCTTGCCTCAATTTTTTTGGTTTGGACCTACACACACATCCTGTTGAGATGTGTTTGATTCCCCTATTTATCTAACTGTTAGCTTACTAGGCCTCTACACTCAATTCTATCTGCAGATTAACAAGGCCTCCCTGTGCTTGGAGAAAGAGTGAACAAGACACCGTGAGTTTTAGCAGCAAAAGGCATAGGACTCCTCCCTTGGGTTTATATGTGTATGGGTTTGATGGGCAGCCAGTTATGAGGGCACCTCCTATAAATCCAGTCACCATTTTCCCATTTCACCCACAACACTTTCATGGCAAATTGCCAAGTACACTCTATGACACTTTATCTCCCAATCTAGCAAAACTATCACAAAGGAAATAGGATTAGCATAGTTTTTTAATTCACACTGACTGCTACTGTCACTTCCTTTGTTCACTATCCTGGAATACTAGGGACTATAGATTTGCAAATTTAAAAAGATATCATTTTATTTTTCTAAAATTACAACAATTTTTTGGTCTATAATCTTCTAACTTCTTATTCTCTTAAAGATTGTTGACAGTAACATTGAGAACACTTCTAAAATTTCTTTAGACCTCAGAAAATAATGGTGCTTACCTGAAACCAGATCAGATGATGCAAGAATGCAGAAACATTTCACCCTCAAAGTGCTACCACCAGAAGCTCTGTCATATTATACAGCAAGGCTTTCTCTCAAGCCCATCTAATAAGTTTATGACTTAAAACCTATTACAGGAAAGATATGTAATCACTGCCCTCCTGGAGCTCTCCTCTTTGCTCGATTCAGCTTCTTCCTCTTTCTCTCTTCCATGTCTGTGGAGGATGGTCATAATAAGTCATGTTGGCATGCCTCATAACCCTAAGGTTAATTTTCAGACACAGAAACAGAATTGCTTCCAGGTGTACGAGCCTGGACAATTCCTAGTTGAACATGTTAACATGTCTCAAGAAAGAAAATACAAAACATGAAAGTGGGAGTAAGTTGGCAGCCTCAGTTGTTGAGGAAAAGGAGTGATGGAGATGAACATTAGTCCCACCCACCTAGGAGCTGCCCAGAGCACAGAAAAATTTCACCACTTGGACTTAATCGCCATGGTTCCTTTGGGATTATCATCCATACAGGTGTCTCAGCTAAAAAAATTTAAGACTAACTTGTTGGTTTTTATTTCATACCCATCAGAACAAATTTTGATATTCCTTTCCAAATAGTTTCTCTATTGAGATAAGTATATTTTGGTAATCTCTATCTATCTATCTATCTATCTATCTATCTATCTATCTATCTATCTATCTACCTGTCTATCTGTTTATTTCCAGGTTGAGCTATTTCACCAAATCAAGTTCTCAGTATTGAGTACTTAACCTATACCATGCACAGGTCTAAATGTTAGGTCTGAATTAGTTAAATCCTCACAGCAATCCTATGAAGTAGTTACAGACACATCTTTTTGGCTCTTCCTGTTAATATTTTGAAAACCCAAACATCACTCTTTTAAGCAGAAAGTTCAGTCTCTTCTTTGAGGCCTCCTTGGTCTCTGACTGTCCAATCATCCCGAGCCACAGTGGGACCAAAGCAGCCAACTCATTTGTTAAACCCCTCCACAAAAAGGAAATGGAGAATCTGTTCCGTTCACTACTGTTGCTATTTCCACATGCACCATTGTTGAAAACTGTTCTTGGACAGTCTACCAGATACTCTTCCATGACTGCTCTGGGCCTCAAGCTATGCCAAGTTTACATTCATATATGCATTCATTTTCCTGTAAGCACAATATAATGCCAGGCGTTCTTAGTCCTAATGAACCCCAGTCCCACCACACAGGTATAGGTTCACCCTCCTTCTCAGTACTGAGAACTTTGGATTATGCGTAGGTCACTAGATTAAAGGTCCCTTTTGAAGCTATTGATGTCTTCTCCTACCTACAGCTTGAATCTTAGCCACCCAAGTCCACCTTAATGGATTTCCCTTTTAACCCCAGAGATCAGCAATTTGAGGGTTCAATCTCTTATTCTCCAAAAGGTTCTTGTACGCCATTTGCAATTTTTTTCCTTCCCCATATTTAACATATCAAGTTGTGTTTTGCAGGGCTTTTATTAGGGTACAGAAGATTCTGCTACCCTTTTCTCCTAAGGGGCTAAATGGGACCTTTATATAACCAGGAGGCCACATAGTGCCACTTCGGTGAAAAAGATAGATGATTTCGTAAGTCTTTCTTAACCAAAAATATCTGAGGTTATTTATTTTTATGTAAACTTGTAATACTTATATATAATTCATTATGTTTAAGTAATTAATATACTTATTTCAATTTTCCCCTAAGAAACTGATCTGTTTTTTGTGCACTACTATGAATGACATATACCAAGATGAGAGAACAAAAATAGAATCATATGAATTTAGGAGAAGGTGCCACTATGCATCCTCCGGCCATACTAAGCTAACCCCTTACAATATGCTGGACTCTCTCTGCCCTCAAGCTTTTATATGTACTACCCATCTTGTCTCGGATGCTGTTCCACTCTTTCCCTTTGGCCGATTCACTCTCCCTTACTCCAAAGATCTTAGTTGGATATCACCTCCTTCCCTGAAGGCAGGGAATATCTATTTGTTTTTCACTGTTGGGTTGCTACTGCTTAGCATGCTATCCAGCACAGGGTAGTGCTCAATAAACAACGTTGAGTTAATTAATATTATGCAATGATGGCAAGCAGATTTGCCCATGTGATTCCAGCTGTGTCTATCCAAAAATCCAGTTCTATCCTCTCCCTCAAAACTAGTTTTCCCTCTACACTTCTCTTACAATAGATACCATATTCTCCCTATCACTCTGAATCGAAACCTTCTAATCACCTTTGACATATCACTTCCCTTCATCTACTCCAGTTACTTCAAAGTGTCTGATTCTTTATAATGTCTTCTGGAGTCTCTTTCTCCATTCTGACTATGCCATTATGCCCCTATGATCTAATATATGAATTACTGCTATTATTTCTCTTAAAATAATCACCCAGATTTCAGACTCCACCAACATTTCAAATGATCCTAAACATTACTGCTACATTCATTTCCCTAAAATGCCATCTTCATTATATCACTCATTTGTCTACTAAATCAGAAACAAATGTCGTTATCTTTTTAAAGGACCTTTGTAATGGTACCCATGCTAATCTCCAAACTACTTTCCATTTACACCATCTACTTTAGTCAAAGAAAACTCCTTACTGTCCCAAAAGATAGAACATCTAGTATCACTTCTTAGTTCGCGGCTACCCCATATTGTAATATACATATAATATACAACATGTCATCAAGGCTATGTTCAAGTCCCAGTGCCTACGTGAAGACATCTGTCTCTAAACCCTGTGTTATCTCAACACCCTTACTAAGAAAGAAAAAAATCATTTTGCACAATTCTTCTGTATTTCATTATAAATTGTTCTTTAGGCTTTACTAATTATTATAAGTAAACTAGTGGTCACTTTTACATAAGTGAGTATCTTTATGATTTATTTTTAATCCCCCAAGTCACTAAAACAATATTGCACACAGTAAGTATTCTATAGACGAATGACTGTATTCATTCACTCAGTAAATACTCATTGAGTAAACAGACACTGGGGATAAAGCAGAAGATAAAACAGAGCTCATGGTCTAATGGTGGATATTGAAAACACAAAAGGAAACAAATTATAAAAACCATAATTTCAGGCAGTGGTGTGTGGGCTGCATATCAATAATATCCTATTTACATTAAATCACACTATGTTTCAAGTATAAATAGGAGCCTCCTGGAGTCATACGTTGTACTTGACAATTCCCCCTTCCTCTTACCACTACCCCAAAATCAGCTGTCACTTTTACTGCTTTTTAGGCATGAACTAGGTCCTTATTTGTGCAAATAAATATTGGTGAGACTTAACGTCTTTAAGCCAGAATGGAACTGAAATATTATTTTAAAGAATTAATTATAATTGAACATATGCCAAAAGTACATAAAGAAAAAAAAATTCTGGCATGCTACACTGCCAGAATAGAAATAGATTTTGGACTCAATTCAGTTTCTAGTAAATTAATGCTCAAAAGCACACAGGAGCAAATGTGCACACATTTGTAATCTCAGCAAAGAGGCCAGGGTACACATGGATCCTAGAATTTCATCTTTCCCTCGTGTCCAGAGGGTAATCTCATCCATGGTCTCTATACAATGTTTACCAACCTCTCTGTGATGCTTCCTGAAGTCTATCTTTTACAGGACTCTGCATACATGAATTAGGAATGCAGTTTTATTGCTATTCCTAGTAAAGGACACATTTTACCCCTTCTATATAGTAAAAATGAGTCACAGTGCATTTAGCTGATTGGTTTCCATAAGGATCTGCAATGTGATACTCATTGAACTATTTACGTTTATTAGAAGAATAACAGTTGTGTATATACATTCATCACATCTTATCAGGTTATGCCTATGTGCCAGGCCTGGTGTTCAGCTCTGAGTATGCTGAAATGAAATGGTACAATTCCTGCTTGGGAAAAGGGCACAGACAAGTGGAGATGACAAAACCCACAAATGATTGACAGTGATGTTGACTAATATGTGCAGTACTAGAAATGTAAATAGTTTCACTTTCAAGGAATTATAGAGCTGAAAAAAACTTTGATATTATTGACTCTAACCCAAGTGAGAGAACGGAGGCTCCCGTGTCGTGTCTGCTAAAGGACAACTGGAACCCAGGTCCCTTAATGTCAAGAGGATGATCACTTCACTACTATTTTCTAGTTCAGCCATTTGATAAAAGGTTGATTTTGTTTTCTAAAAATGGGTGGTTTGCACAATCAATCAATGAATTAGTTTAAACATATAAAATAAGATTTAAAGTGTTTTCAAATAGTAACACAAATTATTTGGGATTAATATCTCACAAACTGATGATAGATATTGTTACATGTGACATCCATCACACTATTTGTTAGTCCCGTCTAATTTCCTGGTTCCTTCCACTATTGTGGGCTAGGCAATTTACTAAATTAACTTCAGGGTTTAGTTCATACTGAACCATTGCCAAATTCTGTGACAGAGGGATAGATATAGGAGTGGCTGTATATAAGATTGCTGTTGGATTAAATGTATTATTGTTCTTTGGTCTTAAAAATAGCATGCTCATCTGGTGAATTTTCTCACCCAAATATCCAAGATTCTTATCATATGAGTTTTATATCCTTAGTCTTTCTGAATATATAGAATACATTTGGATTTTTTTCCTTTATAATTGCTTGTATTACCCAAAACTTTGTGTGTATATGAGTAGTTCTGATATAAGAATATCAGAGTGTTTTCAGAATCTACCTTTACAAATTCAACAGGACTTTCTGTTATGTTTTATGAGAAAGCCAAGACTAAATTGAGCCATTTTCAAATAACTATTGTAATATCACATTAGATTTACTAAAGTGATTTTGCTAATGCTTCTTTTCAGAAAACAAGCTTTCTGATCCCTCCTATGCTTTTTTTAATGAAGACGAGTTTAATATGATTGTTTCAGATTTTAGCTACCTATGCAGTTCTAAACTATATGCAAGGCTTCAAAAGAGCCACACAAAAATAAAGCATATGTATCAGTAGCAATTATATCAGAAAGAACACAAAACTATTTTAAAGCAAAGGAGGAATGTTACTTATTCAAAAAATATAAAATATTTCTTAACCAATGCTAGAGGTTTTTAAATTTACAAAGAAATAAGACTTCAAAAACAATGATATGTTCCAAAGCATGCTTTAAAAAATAAGCCAAACTACAGAAATTAGTTTAATATCCTATTAATTCCAATCAAACATCTTTTCTTCTTGTGAAATATCCAGATAATTGGGGTAATTTAAAAGAACTTTTTTAATTACCTGAGAAATTGCCTCAATCTTTCATCACAATCTTCTATTTCATTTTGCAGATTAAATAGCCTTTCATAAAAATAGAACTATTTCCCCTTATCTCTACTTTTGGGTCATTGTAAACTCCCTGTGGAGTTGTAAGATTAAAGGTGTCTAGGATGTGTAAGGAGATCCCAACTTTTAAATAAATCTGATTTCCAGATGATTTCCTGTTTTAATCAGGTAATTACCATATCAAACCTTCACAATTTCTGTTTCCACAAGCCATGAAAAAATGGAGTCCTGAATAGTTTCCATGGCAACCTCTACATGTCATCTTTATATTGTTTCAGCAAACTAAAGTTTTCTTAAACACAATTAGCAAGAATATTGGTAAAACATATTTCTTACTCTTTTGAATTCTAAGTTAAAATGTCTCAATTTATGAAATTTTTAAAACACTTGCTTTCAACATCTACTTTCTGTTCCTTGAGACAGAATAGCAGTCATTTTTAAGCCACAGGTACATCTGTAACTATATAAGCCTTACAATTATAAGCCTATTCTTTGGAAAGTAGTATTTGAAGAGTAACAAAAATCATAGTTTATCTGACCTGCATATAAAACCATTCAAGTATACTACATTTATCATATTAAAAATGCATCATTAAAATTTAAAAGCAGGTGCAGTTGTTCAATAAGCTAATGGTATAGTCTGAAGACTCCACTCAAGATTGTATTGTTGAATTCCCAGTTGGATAAAGGAGAAAGAGAAAAACCGAGGGAGGGAATTTGAATGACCTTGCACCAAGGTGGTAGGGCCCTAAGATCCTCTGCTGTAGGCTGTGGTTGAGCTCCACACTGAGGCTCTTTACTGCACTGCATTCTGACGGCTGAGAATGAAAGTGTCCTTCTGAACAGATGAACTTGAAATCGACTCACCTCAGAGCCGAAACCTCTGTGAGTCTCTACACGCATGTGAATGTGAGCGCATATCTGTGTTTATGGGGTGAATGTATGGGCTGTTTGCCTGCGTGCACCAATGACTCAATGCTTGTCAGAAAACACATTGTAGAAAATGGCATAAAGAAATTTAATGAGAAAAAAACTAATGGAGGAAAATTTAACCTTTCTAAGAGTCGTGTCAATCTATAAACTATTAAATGATCACCTTTATTACTGATTAGTTTATTCACCTCACATCATCTTAGGAAGAGCTAGACAAGATTCCTGAAATCTATTAATTAGTTTCCCCTAGCAAATATTAACTCAGCAAAATCCTATTCTTTCATTAAATATGTTTAGAATTTTAAATTGAAATATCTAAATCTATATACCTATTTCTTGATTAGATAAATCTAACTTGTATAACCTCTTCTTTAAAAATATAATTCAATGGCAAACTTACTTGATTGTTTTCCATAATTCTTTTCAAACAAAATGTGCACATCTAAAGTTACTATAGTTAACATATCTACTCATTGGTAACAAGAACAACACAAAATAACAATAAACATAATCTTCACCTAAAATCTTTTACAGAGAGATACCCACAGAGTAAAAATTAAAGAGAGAGAGAGAGAAAAGAAAAATAGCAATTGCCTTCTCACTTCTTGGGACATTTTTTCTAAAGTGGTAGTCGTGACATAAAATAGCTTGTATATCTGTACAGGGTTTTGCGGAATGGCATTTTCTGTGATGGATGTCTTAAATATTTTATAGGAAAAATGCATTGTTCCCCTGTCTCTAATATAAATACCATGGTATAGAAATCCAGTCTGTAAACTAAAAAGAAATCGATCTACTTACATATTTTTTGCAGTAATAGAATCCCCTTGGCTTTCAACAACTATCCTCAATTATCAAAAATAAGAAAACCACATTGAAATAACTGTTAAATTACTATATTAGTCAAATCATCAGAAATATTATGTCTCAGTTTTAGATAATCAGTTTATGTTTTGAATCTAGAACACTAAGGAAGTCTTTCAGGGCAAAGGCATTAAAAAATCTCATCATTTAAAGTAATGTTTAGTAATTTACTAAATAAATAGTAGTAAAGAAATATTCATTACTTAAATTACTCATTATTTAAAGTAATCTTTCCATTTGTCCTAGATTCCAATTTTTCCTAGATTTCCTAACACTGGTTCTGAGATTTTTGTTTTAGGTTTCAGTGATTTTAGAAACTGTCTCTTCCTTCTCATCTATCATATTTTCTTGATCTTTTCACAATTACCTTCCTCTGGTTTTCTCTGTAAGCAACTATTTGCTTGCATATATAAGCTGATCTACTACCCTACTGTGAGATAATTTACAGTTTTTGTGAAATATCTTATCAATGTGCATTCTTTTTTAATGTAATCAATTTAAGAGATATGCAGCTTGAAATATAATCTTCAGTAGATGTACTTTCTATTAAATATTAGCAACTCTTGCCTTCTAACACTGAATACCTCAGCATTGCCCAAAACACCATTTTCTCTTCACCTAACTTTGTCTCCACCTATACATGCATTTCAAATAACAAGATGTTCCCCTGTTTACTCTCTCAAAAAACCATATAGATTTCATAAAATGTGGATAGTTTTATAAAAGAAAGAAATGTACCACAGAATATGAAAAGTTAGATTGTTTTGTTCCAATGAGATATTTTTGTCAGTTATTGTACTTTGTTAGTAGGGATTAAGTTCTCAAAGACTCACAATAATTGACTACTATTAATATTACTTGGGCAGGTTATTTAACCAAGATAATGACAGAATTTTCATTGAGAACAGATGGGCTGAATGAACTAAGCATCCATTCATTTACTTATTTCTTTTGTTTGTTAGTTTCACAAACTATCATTTAGCATTTTCTTTGTGCCTGCCACTACACGGTACTTATTTTCATACATGATCTCTTTGGGTAACAGAAGCCTGGAAATTCTCAGCTGGGATTTGGAAGAGATTATTTAGTCTCTAAATTGTTAGAGACTATTTACAGAGGTATGAGCAAAGTTGAGAAAAGCCAAGAATGATTTTTCAAGTCTCCAAGATAAAAAACAGTAAGAATTCAGAAAGTCATGAATCTCACTATTAGGCTTGGAGGGGCAAAAGGAAAAGATGTACAACCAGAGTCTGGTTAGATGTGTAGCCATGGTGGCCTGGGGAAGGAGTGCTTCTCATCAGGAGCTGTAGTCTTAGAGGCTTGCAGCCACAGCAGCGGGAAGTTAGGAAGCAGCAGGAGACAAACTACCTGAACGTTCCTCTCCTGCTCACCACCTCCCGTCCATGCTTCTCATTGGCTGAACTCAATGGGAAGCCAGAGAGAAGGGAGCCTAAGTGACATCATTCACAGTCAGCCTTCAAGGGCACAAGGCAGGGCACAGTAAGCCAGAGAACTGAGGGAAGGAGTTAGCAACCGAGAATAGCCACCATGGTGCTGAAGATAGAACACGAGTAATAAAAGGGGCTCACAGATTAACCCGGTAGTTAGATATGTAAGTTAATACAGGCAAAAAATTCCAATACTGTGAGAGAGTGCTATATGAGAAGAAATTTCTTAGTAATACCCAAGGCAGGCAGGAATTCCTTTCCATTGATTGGGTCCACGTGCACTTTACAGAGAATCAGAGCAGGCAGAACTAGAAACACTGAGCTGGGTTCTCTTCATAGGTACAGCAAATAAATGAGCTGCAGTGATGTATCTCTAGGGTGAAATTACAGATAGTCAAATTTAAAAATTTTAAAAGTAGTAAAAGCCTACACTTTGTGCCCTTTAAAAATACATCTTTATTTCTTCAATCAAAGATATTCAAAGCATTTCTACACGTATCTAGTATCTAGCTAGGTACTATGCTAGATTCCCACAATGTCTAATGTCTAGCTAAAGATATCAGCAGATTGAAGATATGAAGGATGCTTTGGGAGCACAGAGTATTGACACCGAATCTACTACTCAGGTGTCAGAGATATTGTCTCTCAGGATGGGATGATAAATTGAGTCCCAAGGGATGACTAGAAATTATTCAGTTGAATAAAGAGGGAAAATTTTCCAGGAAAAAAGCATCTGCAAATGTGTGGAGATGAGAGGGAGCATGGGAAACGAAAAGGATTTCAATTTGAGGGAACATAGGGCATCCACAGGAGACGTGAGCATTTTGGAGACACTTACTATGCACTGGGCACTTCTCCCGATGTGTCCCACTTAATTTTGAAAACAATAATATGAGGGAATATAACTGTTATCTGCATTTTACAGTGGAGGCAACTGAAAAACTGAGAAGTGAAATCACAGCAGTAGTAAATCTTAGAAGTGACGTGATCCATTTTGAATATTAGAAAGATCCCTCCAGCAGTGAGAAAGGGAGTGGATCAGAGGGGTGTAAGACCAGATACTTGGAGGCAAATTAGGACATAATTGCATTAGAGCAGATGATGTCTGATGATGGTTCAAACTAAGGCAGTTGGGCTTACGTAATGTAGCACAGAAAAAGATGTGGCTGACGTCACAAAAACAGAAACACAGGATAGAGTCATGTAAGAGGAACAGGATGCAGAAAATGAGAACTCTAGGGACAGACTAAGTCTCTGGTTTGCTTAACTGAGAGAAAAGCAATACCATTAACCAACATATGAAATAAAGAAGGAACAAGTTTGTCAGAAAAGAAAATTGCATCCCTTTATAATATAAGGGGCACTTGTGAGACATGAAGTGGAAAGTGTCTTGGAATGTAAGATAAATGTAGAAATGAATAGTAGATAATCTGGGCTGAAGCACCTGTTTGATGAGAGGGGATGAAATCCCTGAAGGACAGCATATTGCATAACAAGTCAACAGAGTCAAGGGTAGAGGCCTGGAGAATACCAGCATCGAAGGAAGAAGAAGGGAAGCCAGACAAAAAGCAAGACAAAATAGTTACAATCAGAGATAGGAGGAGAGGCAGGGGAAATTATTCTTACCGCCACTAAGCAACAACAGGATTTCAAATTAGGACAGAGAGACATCATCAAACACCAGGGATGACTTCAGAAAAGAGCCTATGATGTTGGGAGCTTGGAGGCCATTGATAGGCATTCCTGAAGTGTGAACATGTTAGTAGCATAAGACATCTTGCCATAAGCCAAAAAAATGAACAGAGAACAATTTCCCCATTCTCTCTTGCACCAGATAAAACAAAAAAGGAATAAAACACATACAAAATACTGTCTTTAGTAAATATAATAAATAGCCACAACTCCCGCCAATGAATTCTGTGAAACAGCTCCAAATGTCAGAGAAATATGGGTGAAATCAATGGAGGTTACCCCCATTTGTATAGATCCCATATAGCACCAGATTTCTCCCATGTGCATCCCTGATCATTATCAGAAAAAAAGAAGCTCCAGGTCATGGGCAAGCTTCAAGAGATTCCCTGAATCTGATTCTATACCTCAGAGCAGCAGAGACACCCAGACTGAAGGAAATTTATGGACACATAAGAATATAGGGTGTGATTATGGCAAAGTGGTGAAGGGGCCAATGGCAAAGGGGTTTGCGGCTGCTGATCATGATCAACTGAAAGTGATGATTGACCTTCAAATATCCAAGGCCACACAGGGCTGTGCATACCCAGGTTAAAGAGCAAAGTAGATGCGGGGAAAAAAATTGTTCAGAGACATGGTACCTAAGCTGAAGATGCCTGCTCATTTCTTCAATTCCTCAAGCTCATTCCTCTCCTCCCTCATTCAAAATTCTGTAAAATACTCATCTTTAAAAAGTTTCCTTCACTCAAACATGAGTAATCATTATAAGAGAAACAACAAAGTGACTCATGCCTGTAATCCTAGCACTTTGGGAGGCTGAGGCAGGAGGACTGCTTGAGTCTAAGAGTTCAAGACCAGCTTTGGCAACATAGGGAGATCACATCTCTATAACAAATAAAAAATTAGCTGGATGTGGTGGTGCATGCCTGTAGTCCCAACTACTCTAGAGGCTGAGGTGGGAGGATCACTTGAGCCCAGGAGATTGAGGCTGCAGTGAGCCTTGATTGCACCACTATGCTCCAGCCTGGACAACAGAGTAAGACCCCAACAAAAAAGAAGAAAGCAAGAAAGCAAAATAAAAGAAAAGAAAAGAAAGAAAGGACCGGCATGGAACTAAGCAAAACTAATTCACTGAACCACCCACACAAGCAAACAGAGAGAGAGAGAGAGAGAGAGAGACAGAGAAGAAGACATTACACACCAGTCGATAATATAAGCCAGAAAGCAAAAGGAAAATTCAAACAGACCCTAAGTTATTTCCAAAAAGTTAAATAAGCAGCAATATGTAGTGGTTTGACGCTCATCTAGACTGCATAGATTCCATTCTAGTTTTGCAGTTTATTGGCTGGATGACCTGGAAGATTGCTTTCATTTCTATGTTTCAATTTTCTCATTGGCAAAATGAGGAAGACAATAATAGGTTCTTAAGAAGTAAATGATTTGATAAAAGTAAAGTGCTTGGCACAGTAGCCAGTAAATATTATGTCCAATGTAAATGTAATCATGTACTATTATTATTCTCCTCTTTAAAATACAAGCTCAAAATAAAAATAAGGATTAAAAAGCCATTATATGACAACAGAAGATTGAAATTGGGGTAACCAAATTTAGAAAAGAAATAGTAAAAACAAACCCCAAGTAAATAAATCATTGCAGAAACTATAAGCTGACATGGCAAATACATAAATATTGGAAATATGTGAGGTTGACAATTTCTGGCATTAGAAAGCATTTTAAAATATCAAATAATTAAACTTTTCAATCTGTTAAATGCAAAGGCATTTTAAGTTTTTCTTCTTACGTGTATTTATGAAAAAAGTGTATGTTTCAGCCACTTTTACATTTCTTCAAATTATTACTTTAATGCACACTTTGAGGCTTTTCTTTTCAATGTTAATAAGCTCTTTTTCTCAACCTCCCTCAGTTAAATGAAGGAAGAGAAGAGCCAAGTAGTAATCAATCAGTGAAGACACTAAATCATCATATTTTTAGGTCAAAGATTTCTCTTTTTCATTCATGGCAGCTTATTAATATATTTAATTTTTAGTTCACCTTTTTAGTATAGATTTAAGACATAAACAAAATTTGTAGCTCCCATCTTAACATCAATGTTTCTAATTAGGAAAAAAAAAGGCACTTCTAAGATTTTTTTTAAAAAAAAACATGCCTTTTGTCTGGAGAAACATCATGAGTCCTGGCCATTACCTCCCTTGAATAAAATTTATTTATTATTATTAAACCATCTCACAAAGGAATGTCATGTATTTTATTGATAATATCTTATTTTGAGTTTTGTTTGAAAGATTTATCTGTTAATTAGTAAAATGAGATAATAAAATTAAGAGAAACGGTCATTTTTGCCTAGTCTTTATCTCATTTAAATGTCTATCTTTATTTCACATGCATATTTCAATTTTTAGAACATTATTTTATTTATACTTTTCTATAATGTTGTATAGTTAGTCTTAGACTCATATCTGAGTTTAACCAACAATTTAAAAAGACTGATAAGGAAGTTTCAATTCATTAAAAATGTGATGTTCTTGCTTTTAAGCAGTCTTACTTTAAAAATGTGATTAATGGAAAACCATAATTCTGGAAATAGATCATGGCTGTTATTTTCAAATAATGTGACATACTCTGCTTTTAATGTCTCTATGTGTGTGTGAGTGTGAGTGTGTATGTGCTTTTGATATGAAAAGAACTGGGACTCTGACAATGTGATTATTGACAAAAATATCTTTGTAAAACCTTGGACATTTTTAGTACCCAAAAGAGATCTCATTGTTTGCTTACGAATTATTGTAGGCAGCACATAAGTTAAACATTTTACCTGATTTTCAATGTAATTAAGAAAAAGTAAGGAGACAAAGCACATAAAACTCTTGAACATCAAATGAACCAGTGAGCAACACTGAGGATAAATAATGTCTGTGAGGGTAAATACACTTGGGCATAGCTAGTAGTTATACAAGTCAACATCATCAGTCATCAATGAAGACTTTCTGGAGGAAGTGGAGCTATGTGAATGAAAGAAAGGGAAAACACTCCTAGATCCCTTTTTCTTTTCTAGCTGGTATTTAAAATCAATGCGCGTGGGTGAGATCACCCAGACAGAGCGTGAATTGAGAAGAGTGAATTGGAAAGCAAAAAGAACCAATGAACAACCTAGGTGAGACACATTTTTAAAAAAATAAACAAAGTGAAACTAAGAGGAGTAACCAACAAAACAGGGCATGGATCAGATAAAAGCAGCACCTTGAAGGAAAAGTACTGAAGTGAAAAAGCACTTGGAGCAAAGTGAAAACAGGTATTCGAAAAAGATCAAGTGTTCAACTTATCAATGCAGGGAGGGGAACATCACACACTGGGGCCTGTCGGGGGATAGGGGCTAGGGGAGGGATAGCATTAGGAGAAATACCTAATGTAGATGGTGGGTTGATGGGTGCAGCAAACCACCATGGCACATGTATACCTATGTAACAAACCTGCACGTTCTGCACATGTACCCGAGAACTTAAAGTATAATTTAAAAAAAAAAAAAGAATAAAAAAGAAAAGTGGCAAGTGTTCAACTCATCAATGCTACAAAGTTCAAGAACAGAAGTGTGCCTACTGTTGGATAATTAGGAGTTCATTGGTGACCTTTTCCAAAGGAAAGAGGAATTGGAGGTATCTGTAACCATATTTCAGTGTGATTAGCACTGATAAGTGTTGGTGATTAAAAGTAGAGAGAGACAGTTAATATAGACTAGTTTTTCTAAAATTTGGCTGTGAATGAAAGGGAGTATCTTTGTACGAGGTTAGGTCACATACCCCTGGAGTAAATATAGGGTAATAATAATGATAACAAAGAATGGTTTTGACCATCGTCTAACTCTTTTCAATATTTCAGGAAGTCCCTGACTTTGTCTCATCTGCAATTAAAACTCTAGCTCCTGAGTACCATGGAGTCCACTCTTGCCTCCAGCATGTGTGTGAATGTAGTTCTCCTGGTTTTGATGGCACTTGATTTCTCTCCTGCTTTGGCTGCTTTTGCTGTTGCTGCCATATTCTGTTACCAATTTCTTTCATTTCAAATACATGTTAATTCCATCATAAGTTAGGTCACTGAATCTTCTCTTTCCTCTCTTCCAGTATGTGTTGCCTTCTTCCACCTTTTTAATTTCTGCTTTAACAGTGTCTCTCTGAAGTAGGAAAAAAAACATCTTTTCTTTGCATTTTTCTGTCTCTATTGCATGGACAGAGTAGTTGGGATTTTTTTTCCTCTGATACTTGTTATTGTTATTTTATGTTATTGTATTATTTATGTTATGTTATTTTAACATCCTCTCTTCTCAGGCCTTGAGGAGAAGATGATGAAGTAAATAATGGAACCACAAGAGAGTCGGAAACACACACTCTGCGCCACTATGGGTGGAGCAGCTTAACTTAGACAAGCAAGTTAGAAATCATCTATGGCCTTTGGAGTGCAGAATGAGAAGCAGATCGGAAATGACTGGATATGGATGCATTGAGAACATTTATGCATTTCTTGGGTTTTGTTAAACAAGTGTATGTTACGTGTCTATTGCTTTGGGAAGAAAATTAGGAAGAATGGATTTTCTCGGTAAATTCCCTGCAGCACCTAACACATTTTAGTAGACAGGCACTCAATACATGTTTGAGACTAATTTACTCTAAAGATCGAAATATGATATTGACTGAATGGTCAAATTAAATATATAATTAAATATCCAGCCAATTTAAAGTTACACCAAGTAAATCAAGGTATGCAAGTCCCAAAAACTTCATAAGAATTATAGAATTATGATAAAGACATACAATTTTATCAATTAAAAAACTTTTTAAAGAATTTCAGATCAACATTTGATAGGCTAAGACATTCTTTATTTTCATTAAAATACTGAAGAAAATTTAATTAATTTTTTAAATAAATGTGAAATTAAATGTTTACTTTTCAAAACTTGTCATTATTCACTAAAGAAAATTAATTGTGTCATTATTTCTCATTAGTGGCCCATTTATGTAATGTGACTGGTTGACTTTTCATTTTTAATCTTTGAAAATAATAATGAGTTAAAATTATTTTAAGCACCAAATGCTTACAGTTATAGGTGAAATCATTTACAGAATCTGTTTTATCTGATTCTTTTTAAATAAAACATTAAATAAATATTATTCAGTAGTTTCTTCCTAAAACCATTTTATATTCTTTTTATTTTATTTTATTATTATTATACTTTAAGTTTTAGGGTACATGTGCACAATGTGCAGGTTTGTTGCATATGTATACATGTGCCATGTTGGTGTGCTGCACCCACTAACTCGTCATTTAGCATTAGGTATATCTCCTAATGCTATCTATCCCCCTTCCCCCCACCCCATGACAGGCCCCAGTGTGTGATGTTCCCCTTCCTGTGTCCAAGTGTTCTCATTGTTCAATTCCCACCTATGAGTGAGAACATGCGGTGTTCGGTTTTTTGTCCCTGCGATAGTTTGCTGAGAATGATGGTTTCCAGCTTCATCCATGTCCCTAAAAAGGACAGGAACTCATCATTTTTTATGGCTGCATAGTATTCCATGGTGTATATGTGCCACATTTTCTTAATCCAGTCTATCATTGTTGAACATTTGGCTTGGTTCCAAGTCTCTGCTATTGTGAATAGTGCTGCAATAAACATACATGTGCATGTGTCTTTATAGCAGCATGATTTATAATCCTTTGGGTATATACCCAGTAATGGGATGGCTGCATCAAATGGTATTTCTAGTTCTAGATGCCTGAGGAATCACCACACTGACTTCCACAATGGTTGAACTAGTTTACAGTCCAACCAACAGTGTAAAAGTGTTCCTATTTCTCCACATCCTCTCCAGCACCTGTTGTTTCCTGATTTTTTAATGATCGCCATTCTAACTGGTGTGTGATGGTATCTCATTGTGGTTTTGATTTGCATTTCTCTAATGGCCAGTGACGATGAGCATTTTTTCATGTGTTTTTTGGCTGCATAAATGTCTTCTTTTGAGAAGTGTCTGTTCGTGTCCTTCGCCCACTTTGTGACGGGGTTGTTTTTTTCTCGTAAATTTGTTTGAGGTCATTGTAGATTCTGGATATTAGCCCTTTGACAGATGAGTAGGTTGCAAAAATTTTCGCCCATTGTGTAGGTTGCCTGTTCACTCCGATGGTAGTTTCTTTTGCTGTGCAGAAGCTCTTTAGTTTAATTAGATCCCATTTGTCAATTTTGGCTTTTGTTGCCATTGCTTTTGGTGTTTTAGACATGAAGTCCTTGCCCATGCCTATGTCCTGAATGGTATTGCCTAGGTTTTCTTCTAGAGTTTTTATGGTTTTAGGCCTAACATGTAAGTCTTTAATCCATCTTGAATTAATTTTTGTATAAGGTGTAAGGAAGGGATCCAGTTTCAACTTTCTACATGTGGCTAGCCAGTTTTCCCAGCACCATTTATTAAATAGGGAATCCTTTTCCCATTGCTTGTTTTTGTCAGGTTTGTCAAAGACTAGATAGTTGTAGATATGCGGCATTATTTCTGAGGGCTCTGTTCTGTTCCATTGGTCTATATCTCTGTTTTGGTACCAGTACCATGCTGTTTTGGTTACTGTAGCCTTGTAGTATAGTTTGAAGCCAGGTAGCGTGATGCCTCCAGCTTTGTTCTTTTGGCTTAGGATTGACTTGGCAATGCGGGCCCTTTTTTGGTTCCATATGAACTTTAAAGTAGTTCTTTCCAATTCTGTGAAGAAAGTCATTGGTAGCTTGATGGGGATGGCATTGAATCTATAAATTACCTTGGGCAGTATGGCCATTTTCATGATATTGATTCTTCCTACCCATGAGCATGGAATGTTCTTCTATTTGTTTGTATCCTCTTTTATTTCATTGAGCAGTGGTTTGTAGTTCTCCTTGAAGAGGTCCTTCACATCCCTTGTAAGTTGGATTCCTAGGTATTTTATTCTCTTTGAAGCAATTGTGAATGGGAATTCACTCATGATTTGGCTCTCTGTTTGTCTGTTATTGGTGTATAAGAATGCTTGTGATTTTTGCACATTGATTTTGTATCCTGAGACTTTGCTGAAGTTGCTTATCAGCTTAAGAAGATTTTGGGCTGAGACGATGGGGTTTTCTAGATATACAGTCATGTCGTCTGCAAACAGGGATAATTTGACTTCCTCTTTTCCTAACTGAACGCCCTTTATTTCCTTCTCCTGCCTGATTGCCCTGGCCAGAACTTCCAACACTATATTGAATAGGAGTGGTGAGAGAGGGCATCTCTGTCTCGTGCCAGTTTTCAAAGGGAATACTTCCAGTTTTTGTTCGTTCAGTATGATATTGGCTGTGGGTTTGTCATAGATAGCTCTTATTATTTTGAGATACATCCCATCAATATATGATTTATTGAGAGTTTTTAGCATGAAGGGCTGTTGAATTTTGTCAAAGGCCTTTTCTGCATCTATTGAGATAATCATGTGGTTTTTGTCTTTGGTTCTATTTATATGCTGGATTACGTTTATTGATTTTCATATGTTGAACCAGCCTTGCATCCCAGGGATGAAGCCCACTTGATCATGGTGGATAAGCTTTTTGATGTGCTGCTGGATTCGGTTTGCCAGTATTTTATTGAGGATTTTTGCATCGATCTTCATCAGGGATATTGGTCTAAAATTCTCGTTTTTTGTTGTCTCTCTGCCAGGCTTTGGTATCAGGATGATGCCGGCCTCATAAAATGAGTTAGGGAGGATTCCCTCTTTTTCTATTGATTGGAATAGTTTCAGAAAGAATGGTACCAGCTCCTCCTTGTACCTCTGGTAGAATTCGGCTGTGAATCCATCTGGTCCTGGACTCTTTTTGGTTGGTAAGCTATTAATTATTGCCTCAATTTCAGAGCCTGTTATTGGTCTATTCAGAGATTCAACTTCTTCCGGGTTTAGTCTTGGGAGGGTGTATGTGTCAAGGAATTTATCCATTTCTTCTAGATTTTCTAGTTTATTGGCATAGTGGTGTTTGTAGTATTCTCTGATGGTAGTTTGTATTTCTGTGGGATCGGTGGTGATATCCCCTTTGTCATTTTTTACTGCGTCTATCTGAGTCTTCTCTCTTCTCTTCTTTATTATTCTTGCTAGTGGTCTATCAATTTTGTTGATCATTTCAAAAAACCAGCTCCTGGATTCGTTGATTTTTTGAAGGGTTTTTTGTGTCTCTATCTCCTTCAGTTCTGCTCTGATCTTAGTTATTTCTTGCCGTCTGCTAGCTTTTGAATGTGTTTGTTCTTGCTTCTCTGGTTCTTTTAATTGTGATGTTAGGGTGTCAGTTTTAGATCTTTCCTGCTTTCTCTTGTGGGCATTTAGTGCTATAAATTTCCCTCTACACACTGCTTTGAATGTGTCCCAGAGATTCTGGTATGTTGTGTCTTTGTTCTCGTTGGTTTCAAAGAAACCAACATCTTTATTTCTGCCTTCATTTCGTTATGTACCCAGTAGTCATTCAGGAGCAGGTTGTTCAGTTTCCATGTAGTTGAGCAGTTTTGTGTGAGTTTCTTAATCCTGAGTTCTAGTTTGATTGCACTGCGGTCTGAGAGACAGTTTGTTATAATTTCTGTTCTTTTACATGTGCTGAGGAGTGCTTTACTTTCAACTATGTGGTCAATTTTGGAATAGGTGCAGTGTGGTGCTGAAAAGAATGTATATTCTGTTGATTTGGGGTGGAGAGTTCTGTAGATGTCTATTAGGTCTACTTGGTGCAGAGCTGAGTTCAATTCCTGGATATCCTTGTTAACTTTCTGTCTCGTTGATCTGTCTAATGTTGACAGTGGGGTGTTAAAGTCTCCCATTATTATTGTGTGGGAGTCTAAGTCTCTTTGTAGGTCACTAAGGACTTGCTTTATGAATCTGGGTGCTCCTTTATTGGGTGCATATATATTTAGGATAGTTAGCTCTTCTTGTTGAATTGATCCCTTTACCATTATGTAATGGCCTTCTTTGTCTCTTTTGATCTTTGTTGGTTTAAAGTCTGTTTTATCTGAGACTAGGATTGCAACCCCTGCCTTTTTTTGTTTTCCATTTTCTTGGTAGATCTTCCTCCATCCCTTTATTTTGAGCCTATATGTGTCTCTGAATATGAGATGGGTTTTCTGAATACAGCACACTGATGGGTCTTGACTCGTTATCCAATTTGCCAGTCTGTGTCTTTTAATTGGAGCATTTAGCCCATTTACATTTAAGGTTAATATTGTTATGTGTGAATTTGATCCTGTCATTATGATGTTAGCTGGTTATTTTGCTCGTTAGTTGATGCAGTTTCTTCCTAGCCTTGATGGTCTTTACAATTTGGCATGTTTTTGCAGTGGCTGGTATCGGTTGTTCCTTTCCATGTTTAGTGCTTCCTTCAGGAGCTCTTTTAGGGCAGGCCTGGTAGTGACAAAATCTCTCAGCATTTGCTTGTCTGTAAAGTATTTTATTTCTCCTTCACTTATGAAGCTTAGTTTGGCTGGATATGAAATTCTGGGTTGAAAATTCTTTTCTTTAAGAATGTTGAATACGGGCCCCCACTCTCTTCTGGCTTGTAGAGTTTCTGCCGAGAGATCCGCTGTTAGTCTGATGGGCTTCCCTTTGTGGGTAACTCGACCTTTCTCTCTGGCTGCCCTTAGCATTTTTTCCTTCATTTCATCTTTGGCGAATCTGACAATTATGTGTCTTGGAGTTGCTCTTCTCGAGGAGTATCTTTGTGGCATTCTCTGTATTTCCTGAATGTGAATGTTGGCCTGCCTTGCTAGATTGGGGAAGTTCTCCTGGATAATATCCTGCAGAGTGTTTTCCAACTTGGTTCCATTCTCCCTGTCCCTTTCAGGTACACCAATCAGACGTAGATTTGGTCTTTTCACATAGTCCCATATTTCTTGGAGGCTTTGTTCGTTTCTTTTTTCTCTAAACTTCTCTTCTCGTTTCATTTCATTCATTTCATCTTCCATCGCTGATACCCTTTCTTCCAGTTGATCGCATCGGCTACTGAGGCTTATGCATTCATCGCGTAGTTCTTGTGCCATGGTTTTCAGCTCCATCAGGTCCTTTAAGGACTTCTCTGCATTGGTTATTCTAGTTAGCCATTCATCTAATTTTTTTTCAAGGTTTTTAACTTCTTTGTCATTGGTTTGAACTTCCTCCTTTAGCTCGGAGTAGTTTGATCTTCTGAAGCCTTCTTCTCTCAACTCGTCAAAGTCACTCTCCAACCAGCGTTGTTTCATTGCTGGTGAAGAGCTGCGTTCCTTTGGAGGAGGAGAGGTGCTCTGATTTTTAGAGTTTCCGGTTTTTCTGCTCTGTTTTTTCCCCATCTTTGTGGTTTTATCTACCTTTGGTCTTTGATGATGGTGACGTACAGATGGGTTTTTGGTGTGGATGTCCTTTCTGTTTGTTAGTTTTCCTTCTAACAGTCAGGACCCTCAGCTGCAGGTCTGTTGGAGTTTGCTGGAGGTCCACTCCAGACCCTGTTTGCCTGGGTATCAGCAGCAGTGGCTGCAGAACAGCAGATATTGGTGAACCACAAATGCTGCTGCCTGATAGTTCCTCTGAAAGTTTTGTCTCAGAGGAGTACCCAGCCGTGTGAGGTGTCAGTCTGCCCCTACTGGGGGGTGCCTCCCAGCTAGGCTACTCGGGGGTCAGGGACCCACTTGAGGAGGCAGTCTGCCCATTCTCAGATCTCAAGCTGCGTGCTGGGAGAACCACTACTCTCTTCAAAGCTGTCAGACAGGGACATTTAAGTCTGCAGAGGTTACTGCTGCCTTTTGTTTGTCTGTGCCCTGCCCCCAGAGGTGGAGCCTACAGAGGCAGGCAGGCCTCCTTGAGCTGCGGTGGGCTCCACCCAGTTCGAGATTCCAGGCCACTTTGTTTACCTACTCAATCCTCTGCAATGGTGGGCGCCCCTCCCCCAGCTTCGCTGCCGCCTTGCAGTTTGATCTCAGACTGCTGTGCTAGCAATGAGTGAGGCTCTATGGGCGTAGTACCCTCTGAGCCAGGTGTGGGATATAATTTCCTGGTGTGCTGTTTGTTAAGCCCATTGGAAAAGCGCAGTACTAGGGTGGGAGTGACCTGATATTCCAGGTGCCATCTGTCACCCCTGTCTTTGACTAGGAAAGGGAAATCCCTGACCCCTTGCGCTTCCCGGGTAAGGCAATGCCTCGCCCTGCTTCAGCTCACGCACAGTGTGCTGCACCCACTGTCCTGCACCCACTGTCCAGCACTCCCCAGTGGGATGAACCTGGTATCTCTGTTGGAAATGCAGAAATCACCTGTCTTCTGGGTTGCTCACGCTGCGAGCTATAGACTGGAGCTGTTCCTATTCGCCCATCTTGGCTCCACCCCTATATTCTTATAAAATTCTTATCCAGATGATTTATCCTTTGCTGATTAAAATGAAGAAGACCATAAGTTTATTGTTAGATTTATATCTGCAACATGAAAGTGAATAAATCAAATGTAAATTCCATGTTATATGCAAATGTATTTGATTTATATAATCTAGCAAATTTACCAAGGAAATGTAAGGGTTTGCTACACACACGATATAAAATTTATATTATAAACCAGCATACTATCTGAAACACACACACAAAAACATGTTTGCGGTCTCCAAATTGTTTCGTCCTACAAGTATACGTAAATAGCTTTATAGTATGGAGAAAGCATTGAAATTTCTGGAATGGAATTTATTCATTTCAATCCACAAAACCAATCTAAATCTCATCCCCTGTAAAACCTTCAAACCTAGAATCCCGAATGTTCTTCAAGGCTAATATCTTGCTTGAAATTCAAATCCTACCAGGATATATATATCCTCTGGATTTGACAGTGTCCTTGTCTTCCTGGCATGACAGGAAGTCCAATGCTCTCAACATTTTATCTTAATTTTCATACTTTCTCCTCTCTGTGCATTAATTTTGTTCATATTAACTTTAGAAGTAGAGGTGATAATTCATTTATTTTAGATGACTTTTAGTTTATGTGTAGCAAGCAATTTCATATTCTATAAAAATTAAAATATTATGATTATAAGACTTTTAGTCAAGAACAAGATTTATTGTTGGGAGACACTGAAATTATATTACATAACTTTATAGTCATCCAGCCAAAGGGTAGATTAGTTTCATAGATAACTATGTTAATAATACTTTTTAATTTTCATATTATTAGTATAACTTTATATTTAGAAGAATTAGTGAACAAAATATTTATCCGTCTTGAGTACAGAGATTTTCTAACTGTCCTACATGAAATCTTTAGAAAAAAGAATCAAAGCTTTGTAGAACAAATGAATTTATTGAGAAATAAATTGGGCCATGTTTCTACTTTTAAAAATCAAGTTACATTTTAGTAAGTCTATGAAAACTTTTACCAAAAAAATCCATAATTAGGATGAATATACCAGTAAAACTGGCTCGCTATATTTTTTGGAAATATTTTCTGTTCTTATCAAGGATGCTTAACAGATATTATAGAGAAATAACAAGAAAAATTGGTAACAAAATAATGGCAAAATATTTAATATGCTTTTATATAGATTAGAAGTATTACTTATTTGTTAGTGACACAAGTTCTTTCTGCACTATCTTTGGCTTGGAAGGTTCAATTTCCAAAGATTTCACATTAGGAAATGTTTCTGATTCTACAAATACTAAATTTATAGTAAATATATACAAGAAGGTATGCTTTGTATCCCAACTGAATAATATTGCACTCATCAATTTTTCTCTGATTTTTAAAATTTCTCTTTAATATGTTCATCATAAAAGTAGAGGTAAATTAAGTGAGAAGTTGTAGGAGAATTTTGCAACACTGTAAAACACTTCTACATTTTTTGTCCGTGTTTTTCAAATGGAATCAGAGTGTCATTCTTGTGCCCTCTAATTAAGTAAATATATCATAGTTGTTTTTTAGTGAGTTTCTTGAGGCTGAGACTTAGAATGCTTATTTCACATCGAAAGATCAAGGTTATGTCTTACAAAAAACAGGGCTGTTGAAAAGAAGGAAAGGAGGGAGAAAAGGAGGGGAGAAAAGAAAGACGTTCTTATTTCTTGCCAAAATATGTCTTTTTTCTTACATGGCTACATAGAGTGTTTTAATTTTCTTCCCTCAAATTTATACTCTCATGTGATTTCTATAGATGTCCTCAGAGTAGCATCTTCCTAACAATTTCCTCCACTATCACATGCCCTGAAAATCTGATGTCTGGAATACTTTACACTACCACATACACAAATGTAGAAAATAAATAACTCACTATATTCACATAGAGTGCAACAATTCATAAATATTTGTTCAGAGAGTGAGGGGAACTTTAAAATAAGAATATGGGCTTTGAGGCTGGGCACGGTGGCTCACGCCTGTAGTCCCAGCACTTTGGGAGGCCAAGGCGGGCGGATCACGAGGTAAGGATATCGAGACCATCCTGGCTAACATGGTGAAACCCCGTCTCCACTAAAAAAAAAAAAAAAAAAAATACAAAAAATTAGCCGGGCGTGGTGGGGGGCACATGTAGTCCCGGCTACTCGGGAGGCTGAGGCAGGAGAATGGCGTGAACCCGGGAGGCGGAGCTCGCGGTGAGCCAAGATCACGCCACTGCACTCCAACCTGGGCGACAGAGCCAGACTCTGTCTCAAAAAAAAAAAAAAAAAAAAAGTCACAAATTACTGGCCGGGCACTGTGGCTCATGCCTGTAATCCCAGCACTTTGGGAGGGCGAGGTGGGCAGATCACAAGGTCAGGAGATCGAGACCATCCTGGTTAACACGGTGAAACCCCATCTCTACTAAAAATACAAAAAATTAGCCGGGCATGGTGGCAGGCACCTGTAGTCCCAGCTACTCGGGAGGCTGAGGCAGGAGAATGGCATGAGCCCGAGAGCAGAGGTTGCAGTGAGCCTAGATCGCCTCACTGCACTCCAGCCTGGGCGACAGAACGAGACTCCGATTCAAAAAAAAAAAAAGGAATATGGACTTTGAAATTCAGGTCAATATGAGTTGTGTCCTGGAATCCCTACTTAATTCCTGAACGACTGTGACGAAGTTTATCATTTCCACCACGCTAGTGTAGCAGCATCTATGTCCTCGTGGTTTAATTCTTGTTTTAAGAACAGTATAAAGCCTGGTTCTAAGTAACCATTTGATGACTATATAAATGTATAAAGGCACCCCAAAGATATAATCCAAGTAACAAAACAATAGGTGTAGTAACAGATACAACTAAAATTCTATGATCAATATTTCTAAATGAAGAATCAGAGATTTCTGAAAAGGAACAGCATTCCACAGTTGATAAGACTATGGATCATGAAGGACCCTGAATGATAGATAAGGAGTCTGGCTGCTTTCTTAAGCAATTTAGTGTACTTTTTAGGTTATTGCCTTCATTTCTACTTTATCTGTGATTTTATCAGGTGCACAAAACCAGCGAGCTGGAGTACTGGACAAGGAAAGTGAGGCAGAGAAGGAGAGAGGTGCAATATGAAGATGCATTTCAGGCCAGCTGAAACTGACGGATTGCTCGATTTTGTAGGAACTTTCTCCAAGAACCAACAGAACTACAAGTCAGGCCAGTTGTGTCTAGGAGAAGGAGCGGAGCAAGGTTAATCTACTTCTCCCATGAATCAAATGGATGTCTGAGGCTCACTGATTCTCTTGAAGTTCCAAGTTTGGCTTGCAACCCTGAACAAAATGAGCCACATCCTTCACCTCCACATCAACACAGAAGCCAGAGCAGTAAGAAAAGGAGTGCTTTCCTGGCTTTGAAATTGTCCCTGAGACGTTTTGCTGAGATGGTGTAACCACAAGGTTGATGCAGCAAGAATTGCTTTAGGGAGTGGCTAGGCAGTCGCCTTGCTCCTTGTTTGAACTCTTTAGGAAATGGGAATCTGATTTATGGGATTAAGCTGCTGATATTTAGAGGTTGTTTGCCATTGTAGCATAGCCTAGTTTAATCCTGACTAATACAGAATTTACACAGGGAATGGAGTGTTATGATAACAAAAAGTCAAAATATATGGCATTGGCTTAGCAATTGGGTTGGGGCAGTAAGGGAACGGATATTGGAACATAGAAAGATGGCAATCCATTCTTTGCAGAAGCAAAATATTTGGTAAGATTGTTGCCTGCTATGATTTGTGAAGCAGCATGTGTGTTTAATGAACTTGCCACATTAGGGTGAGACGTCAGAGAATAGACCATTTACAGTGTTCTTTTTGTGCAAATGGCTGTATTTGGCATTATATTAAAAGAAGATGTGCATTCAGGAATAAAAAACTGTCTAGATTGAAAACAGATATGAAAGATAATGAAACAATTCTAAAAATTTGGAGAGTTACAGTTTTAGAATTGATGACGTTTGCACAACAAAACCAGATTAAAACCCAATTTTGTGACAAAGACCAGACTAAGGTGATGGCCTTTACATCTACTGCTAAGACCCCTTAACAGTTTAAAGTGACTCAGAAAAAAGGCAGGTTGAGCTATACATTTCCTTTAGAAGCTGGATAACCTCAAAGGGGGCTTCTTTAAATTGAGAGAGAAGTTAGGAGCTGTGAAAGCAGAGTAACGTAACAGATCTAGGAACTATTTGAGAAAGAAATGTTTGTAGGTATGCTTACTGCTGTATGGAACTCACTGAAATCAGTTTTTTGAGAGAGTTGGACTTCCCAAGAAATTCTGACCCTGGACTACAAAGTCTGTGACTGTTAACAGATTTAGGTGCCTCTTTGTCTCCAACCTTTCTTGAGCAGGAGGTTGCCTGAGAAATCTCTTAAGCTATCAGGTAGAGTGTATTACCAATACCATTTCTGACATGGTCTTAGAGGATAATAGGAAATAAAGAAACCTCTGCAGGGTGGAGGCAGGAGCCAGAGAGAAAATTGGAGAAAAGCCTGTCACCTCAATAAAGCAGAATTATTTCTTAATCAAGGGACACCCTTACCAACCCCCAAGCAGGGGTCCTCACAAAATCTTGCCCAGATAGATTTGAAACTTGCTAGAGACTAGAGACTGCTGTTTGTCTCCTACTCATTTCTTTCCAAATAGAAGTGCTGAATGCAGTTTTCCTGCCCTGTATGGTCATTGTATATTGTATAAATTTGTGTGGTGGAGGGTGGGGAAGGGACAGACAATTTGTCATATTGTTCTCATCAGAAGTACGTCAGCCAGAGATGCCAAACTTCAATCTCAACAATATGACGAGATTAAGTTTAAGAATAGAACGTTGGGTAAGAAATTAAATGCTACAGATTAGCTCAATAGCACTTACATAAAAGTATGGTCTTGGCTACCTTGTCTTCAAAATTCTCTAAGGTCATCAATGCCCTTCTAATTTCTAAATCTAATCATCTATACAACACCATTCAACTAAAATGTCTTCACTTTCCTTTATGTGCTAAGTATTCTCCCAGACAGTGTAGATGACAAAAATAAAAATACCCAAAGTCAGCCACCCGCGGTGGCTCAAGCCTGTAGTCCCAGCACTTTGGGAGGCCGAGGTGGGTGGATCCTGAGGACAGGAGTTCGAGACCAGCCTGCACAACATGGTAAAACCCCATCTCTACTAAAAATACAAAAATTAGCTGGGGGTGGTGGTGGGCACCTGTAATCCCACCTGCTCTGGAGGCTGAGGCAGGAGAATCGCTTGAGCCCGGGAGGCGGATGTTGCAGTGAGCCAAGATTGCACCATTGCACACCAGCCTGGGTGACAGAGTGAGACTCTACCCTCAAAAAAAAAAAAAAAAAAAAAATACCCAAAGTCCTTGGACTCCTGAAACTAACATTCTTATGGGAAAGAGAGAGACCACAAGCAAACTTTAACAACCTTATTATAATAATAATACAGTTTGTAAAAACAGTACACCCAAATGTATGCATATATGAATGGATTGATTCAGCTATATGAAAGAATCTATTAGTAGTATGAAAATAAATTAAGTAGGTTAAGAGGGCAGGAGAGACAAGGGGGTTAGGAAATATTTCTTTGAGGCTATGATTTACCACATTTAACACACGATAGCTATCTTAACTGTAACTTTGAAGTTTGTGACATGACACTTATCTCTTATTTTTTTAATGGAGATTACTTCTCAGGAATTTCCGTAAAATGAAGATAATCTCTACCTCTGTTTTTCCTTAGCATGCTCTACTTAGAAAATATTGATGAGCTTCTGTTTATCTCCTTTCCTCTCTCCACCTACTCTTTCTGGGCAATTAAATCAATCATTCATTCATTCATTCATTCATATATTCCACAAATATTTTTGAACGGCTACTATATGCCAGGCACTGTGTTTGGCTCTGGGGAAGGATTATTTGCTGTTATGGTATTTATAATCGAGCAGAAGATATGGCTATCAAATAAGTGATTACATGAGTAACTATTTAATTATGATTGTGAGAGATGTAAAAGAAAAAGTAGAGGCTGCTCTGAGAGTGTGTTAAGGACACCTAGAGAGGATGGGGTAGTTGAGGAGTTTTCTAGACAGAACAACCTTTGCAAAAACCCTGTGGCAGAGAAGAGCCACTCCTGGGCCAGACACCCTTTAAAGGCAAGAACTGAGAATGCCCCTAATTCCTACTTGCATCTCCAGCACTTACAAAAAATTTGGAACAGAATCAACACTCAACACATTTTTCTTAAGCAAATACTTTCAGTAATTAGTGAAGGGGAAAAATAAAGCCAGTAAGAAATCTATTGGAACAATTGTGAAATTAGCAAAGAGTACATACAGTAAAATTTATATAACATGACTTGCTAATGAGAATCTGTTAATTCTTTTGTTAGGGGAAAAATATTATTTAAAGACAAGTGTTAACTTTATGAGTAACCCATGTGCTGTACAGAACTAAACTAATTCTCAAATTCAAATTAAATTCTCAAGGCTTATAAAATAAATTATTTTTTCTGGCTATCTGAAATGAATGTATGTTAAAAAGAAATATGGGCTGGGTTTACTTATGTAGTACTTCTAATATAAAGTTGGGATTTATAGCCTACATTAATTATATAAGCTATAAAACAATAGTTCTGTGCTCTGGCTTTAAAAATCACTTCTACTCCATAGTAGCAAGAGTTTCTTGTTGTTGTTGGTTCTATTTTTTGTTAAATACATAAAGAGAAAGGATGAATTTGAGATTCCCATATTTTCCCAATCTGAGACTTACTTACTACTTTACACTATGTAGTGCAATTTAATTTCAAAAATTTTTAAACACATTCCTTGGTTAATCCTAATCTGGGGACACATAGTATAGCTATTTGTATCCTGTGTTAAAGCTGAGTGTTTTATAGATTCCAGCAGAGTTGTATGGGTGCCACGGTAAATCACGATTGCAATTCTATCTTCTAAATAGCACTCTGAGTTCTCCAACTCCTGCCGTTCCCATTACCCCATCCTTCAAGGCTCCGAGATCTCCGGGAAAGTGTCCTAATGGATCCTGCAATTAGTTTTGTTGTCTCAATAATTGGAGTGACTATTTTTTGATACATACACCTATTCCTCCTGATGGAAGCTGGGAACAATTCACTCTGTATTAAAGAGAAATAGGAAAAGGAATAATATTGAAGTGAGTTAAGAAATGAAAGTAAAAGAAATAGAGGTAATGAGTGTAGATTGAATTTTCAACAAATTTGGCCAGGAAGGGAAAGAAAATGAGAGATTAAGGGAACCAAGGAACCAAGAGAAAAATGTGCCACTTGTGTCTTAGAAGAGGATCTTAGAAGGGTCTAAAGGAAAGGGACAGAAGGCATAGATGAAGGCCTTAGTCTAGGAGAATGGATAGTTAGGCTGAACATTTATCCTGCTGTTAGATGAGAAAAGGGAGAGAAGTGGTAGACGATACGGAGACAGTGGAAATTTGAAAAATAACAACATTAGGAAGAACATATTGGATGGCTTTTTACTTTCCCATTTATCTCCTAGTTAGGAGATAAGATTATCTACAAAAAAAAATGAAAATTAAAATATATGACCTCTATGACAAAGCGGGTGTTAAAATCTCACTACCTTTATTCTATGAACTGAAGAAAATACATTATTTTATTGTAAGGCCAATATCAAACAACTTCTTCAGATGCCTCCCCAGTAAACCTAAGCCAAAATGAGCAAAAACCATTAACATAATTCAATTAAAGATGAATTATATGCCTATGCCAATCCCATAGAAAAATAATCATTATAGAAGCCAAGGTCATGGTCAAAGACTTTTGAGTTTAAATTGAAACTTTGCCTAGATCAAATGTGGGACACTCATAAGGTCATTTAAGATAATTTTTAATGATTATAATAATAGTTAATATATTTTAAAATCTGATTTTGGGATAAGATTTTTCTTCTGAAAATACAAAATTATTAATATTTCTTTGATCCAAAAAAATCAAACAACAAATTCTGTATAACAGTGATAATAATAGGTGGTAATAGTATTGTTTAAATTTGCACAAATCATTAGAAAAATCTGATTAAAAGGCCAAGCAGTTTAGCATATGGTCATATTTCACATCATAACTGAAATATTATAATTCTATTGTTTATTCTATGAAAGGTAGCTCCTTCAGGATTATCTTAATGAATAATAAAACTGACTTGATTTTACCCACTACAGTCAACTTTTCTGATTAAAGATTATTAATAACTGTATGCACAATTGTTCTTTCTTACCCAGACAAAAGTAGCATTCTAACATCATACTTGTATTTTTTAGTTTTATTGGGGTAAAAAGGTACTCTGAACATACAGAAAAGCTGCAATAGAAAGAAAAAAATGTCAACTATTAAAAAAAACTTTTCATAACATGTAGACCTCAGTAAATCATGTTTTAGAAGAAACAGTACCATTACCATTTTATATTATAGTACAGTAGTTTCAACTTAGAACTAGACTCTTTTTAAATAAAAAAGTACGGTACCAACACAAGAATATCTTAGCTAAGTAAAAAATGACAATCCATTTTTTTAACTGTAGGAGTTCAGGCTTGTATAAATGTTTCTCAACACATTTACAGGAATACTGTCCTTTGACAAAGGTCTAAAAACGCATGTGAAAGCCAAACATAATAACATTGTTATTCTGCTACTTATTAACAGAACAACACATCCTATAACAATTAGATATGAATATTGCAAACTGAATTTAATATTAGCTGTCTTTGAAATGCCACTTTGCAGCAGATTTTCAAAGCTTAAAGCACAGCAGGAGGTTAACTCCATCTTCAAATATTAAATCAAAACCTTTTTTTAACCTGAGAAATCTTACTGAAAGCAAGGGCTCCTTTTCAAGAGAGAATTAGTCAACTCAAAGGAGAGAAAACTAAGCCTCCCAAGTATTGTTGGCACATAGTCTGTTTCTACAATGAAATGAAAAGATAGAAAGATTAGAGAGACAGGATAGATAGATAGATAGATAGATAGATACAAACAATAGTCATGATTCTTCTGAATTGGTCTCAATAAACATGTTTGCACACACTCTTGTGACTAAAGCCCAATTTTTGTCTGAAAATGATAATTAAGTACTTCATCATTTAACTTTTGCCATGTTTAAATATTATCTCTCATCTACATAAGACCATTGAAAGTCTTATATTTCCTGTATTTATTAAAGATGCCCAACATTTATTGGCTTCATTGTCCTTCATAAGATGTTACAAACACATTTAAGCTCAGTATAAAGATACCTAGAAAGTAATTTTCCATCGACATATTTATTTACTTCCTATCCATCCATCTAACTAGTTGCTACCTATCTACGTGTCCATCAGTTATAAACTTTCTCACATTTGCAAAGTGATGTTATTTCAGGCAAGGAGAAAATATTCAATCCTCAAGCTCATCACATGTACTCGAGGAGTCTGTCTTCAATCATATTGTACCTATGTCAAAGGCAATCTGCCCTAATGCTGACTGGCAGCCTAATGTGGGTAGTGTGGTACTCCACGTTCATTAATTCCCTTGTGGAGCTGGGATTGTCTTAATATCTATGGCTCCAAACACCAAGAAGCTTGAAATAACTATGCCATTTGCATAATATAAAAATTCAATAAAAAGTCCGAATAAACATACTGTGAAATATTACTAAGTGTCTTCTATTAAAAGAATCATACTTAACTCATTTGAGTTTAGGGAGAAATGCTAATATAATGACACTATTTTCCTTGCTCTGGTTTTGCTGATCCTCAAGTTTATTTTTTTCCAGCAGACAAATGCCAAGTATGAGGCCAATAGGAGAAATTATTTTTTAAGTAGATGTTTATTTCCAAGAATTTATAATAAGATGATCAGTTTTATTTTTTAAAGCCAAAGAGCTCAGTGATAGATAGTTACAGCTCACCCCTAACTTATCAAATATAGACAGGCAGATTCACTCTCTACACATGGTTATTTGCTTTCTCTATTTTATAGGCAGTGCCACTCTCTTTAAAATTGAGTCTATAAATAATATATAAGTGCGAATCTATCAGGTGGTGCTTGTTTACTTGTATAATACTAATAATTCAAGATTTATGTCTTGTGTTTTAACTGGATCTGATTAAGTCATAAGCCTACTGAATATAATTCTTCAATTCTATACATCTGTGCTGGAAAAAAATTAAATCTATAGGAACTAAACAGATTTACTTGTTGAACTAAAATGCCAAAGCATAAATGTAAAAGTGGTTTCAGAGAATGACAGGCGTAATTCCCAATCTTAGCAAGACCAACGATCAACTGTGTAACATCAGTCAGGTTTCTCGGATCCCAATTTCCTTGTCTCTGAAACTGAAATATCATTCATATCTAACTCACGGGATAGAGCTAAATATTAAATTTGATAATATTTTAATATAAAATTGAGAGGAATTTTTCATATGTCCTGGGATTGGCTATTCCTCCTCAAAGCTCACATAGATAAGGCACTAAAAGTCCTGATTTCTTTAACAAATCCACCAAGGCTGAGAAAAGAGCAGTACAGATTCTACCACTACCAGCAGCCATCCAACCCAACTTCATTGGCTATGTCAGAAGACACTGAAGAGGAGAAATGAGTCATCTTCTGCATTGTAAAAAGTGTAGTGTTTTAGATGAGGAGCTTTATTCAACCCTTCCTCTGGGGGAGAAAGGGAGGGTAAAACCCACCAAGTCACTTTGGAGAGGACTTCAAGAAAATCACTCATAGGGACAAGGCTTTCAACAAAAATGAGAGCTCTTAGGCTGATGTGCGCTGAGTGGAAAATCTGCTGCCTCCTTCTGGTGCTGTAATTACTATGGACCTTAGGAAAGTGTGATAATGTCCCTTCAAGTTTGGAGGATGTAATAATTGTAGACACTGGTTTCTGCTTAATATCTGGATTTAAAGACGTTGTCAGGCTATGAAGTGAAAAGCGACTGTGGTATGTCATATGTGGAAAAAAAATCAGGTCCACCTCTGGACCCGATTCAGTACTTTCCAATTCAGTACTTTGAAAAAGCATAAAAAGAGAGCACCATGGTTTCTCTTTCTCTACCCCAAACCACACAAAGGTCAGAGGAAGAGGAAGGACTTGTGGGGCTGCTCAGAGGGATCCTAGTTCAGACAAATCTTTAGTTGGGGCATGGGTTGGTGGCTTAGTCTTCTGGCAGGACGAAAAGGAAGATCAGTTAATTGTCTTTTCTGAATACTTCTGCAAATGTGGGGTGGGGATGGTAAGTGAATACCACCCAACAAACAATGGACCACATCAGCAGAACTCATTGGAAGAAATGAGAAGCCTTGGTATAAAACCAGAGGATTTAGCAACAAATATTCAAAACTTTTACCTGATAAGCAGTAATGCACTGCAAAATTTTAAATGATAAAGGCAGGAAATTGAGAGAAAAAAAGCGCAGGACAACTAACACTGGGGTTAGTTTAACAACTTCCTGGTGGATACTCTCACACCAACTTCTATGACAACCATGTACCAAACAAATCTTTCCTAAATGTGAATGTGTCACGTGTGTATGTCTGATTTGACTACTCAGAAAGCTAGAGATTACTAGTGCCTCAATTCTTAAGGAGAAATACATTCTATTATTCTATTATTATTGTTACTACTATTGCTATTTGATGCCTACTACAGACCAGGCATTTGGATAAGTGCTTTACGTATATTATACTATTTATTTTTTATTATCCCCATTTTTTAAAGAAAATAAACACTTGGAGAAGATATGAAAGTTGTCTAAGATTGCACAGTTATTAAGTGTAGACACAAAAATCAAACTCTGTGACTAAAAATCTATGCCCTTAACCACTATGTGTCCTAATTTCCAACTTTTCTCCTTAGTGCTCCAAAATAAATGTTTCTCAGTATCAGGGTAGCTTTATTATGTGACGGCCTTCTCATCTTTCTTCATGCTCTTTGCTCTACCTGAAATGTCCTTCCTATTTCTTTATTTCTATACAAATCTCCACCAATATTCAGAGCTCATCTTAAGATCTATTGGTCTTTTAAGAGTACATACAAGCACAAAAATTGTATGTAGAGGGTGGGGTGGTGTCTACGCACATATAAATATATTTGAAAAAATATATATGACTGGCTCTACAAAAGTAAAACATTTTCAATTGTTTACTTTCACATTGAATTGCATTTTCCACCATCTTAATTTCTTTTTCTGCTATCTTCTTCTACATAATTTTGAAATTTCCGACAATCCCTGATATTCACTAACACCTTTCTGATTGATTGATCTGAGGGATGCATTCTTCCATTTGCAGATTTCTTTTGTAGATTCCCCACTATTCAGACTATTCAGAAAATGTTATAGACAATGTTATAATTTATGGAAAAGGAGATCATCCTGTAACAAGAAACCAAATAGATTTTTAACTACTTAATTAAGACAATCTATAAATAAAACAAAACACAATGCCAAGATAACCTTTGTAGTTAAATTTCTAACAATTACTTTTTCCCACTAGTGGCAGTGGTATAACACATAAGAAATAATTCCCTTGTTTAACTTTTTAAGTATTCTTTACTCCTGAATTGACTCAGTATCCAAGGTACCCAAATATGATTAAGTATATTGTCAATCAATTTTCATTCTTAATCTGTCTTGATTTTTTCCCCATTCTTGAAATGAACCAAACAATTTATGGCGGAGCATTCAGGAGTTAAAATACCTGTGTTTGAAGTCCTGCTCCCTTCGTGTGCCAACATTGCCCAGCTGTGTGATATTTGGCCAATTTCTCCTCCACTTGTTTTCCTTATCTCAAAACCAAGAATACTCCTGTCTAACTCATTTAAACTGTTAGGAGATTTACTAAAGTCACATGAATTTATTAAGCTGTTCAGTTCATGTGTAAGAGCTAACCCTTTATTGAATCCAAAATGAGAAAATGCCCCTAGTTCTCAGACATTTTCATCAATTTACTCATTAAATGTATTCTTTAGTTGTTATTGTCTTTGAGACAGGGTCTCATTCCGTTGGTCAGGCTGGATTGTAGTAGTACAATCATGGCTTGCTGCAGCCTTGACTTCCCCAGGCTCAGGTGATCCTCCCACCTCAGCCTCTCAAGTAGCTGGGACTACAGGCACATGCCACCACGCCTGGCTAATTTTTGAATTTTTTTTTTTTTTTTTTTTTTTTTTTTGTAGAGATGTAGTCTCACCATGTTGCTCAGGCTGTTTAAATATATTCTTGTTGGTAACCACTAACTTTATCCTTTCATTCCTTAAGCCTTACATCATAGGACATTGGAATCACACAATAGAAATGTAGCCCAACTAACACTTTTCAGTGGTCACAAGGTGCAAAGCACTGTACATATGGATAATCTCATTTAATCTTCACAATAATCCTATGAAAGAAGAAATGACAGAGGCTAATAGTAAACCACAAAAATTTATATCCCCTTCTTTCCAATCAAATGTCCTCTCAGCTAGACGATATTTCCTAGACTCTCTTGCAGTTAGATACTGCCATGTGATGAAGTTCTTGCAAAGGGACTTTGAGCAGAAGTAATGTATACAACCTCAGACTTGGGTCTGAGCAACATTCACAATGTATTTTCCTTTTATTCTTACAGGAATTCAGACACTGAAGCTACCCAACTTCTACCATGCCTATAACATGATCACCCTAGGAAGTGGCAGAGTAACCCGAGGGAAGAAGCCTGGATACCTGAATGACTATATGAAACACAGTTGCCTTAATACCCTCGATCACTCACTACGGAACTCTATAATAAAGTATATTTTTAAGCCATTATATTTTGGTAGCTTTTTAATCTCAGTAACTTAGCCTACCCTAATAATACAAGCAGTATTATCCCCTTTTACAGATGTAGAAACCAAGGCTCAGCGAGTTTATGGAAATTACCTAAGGTTCCAAAGACAGCAATTGTTTGAGTTCAGATTGAAAACTTAGCTAAACTACACTATTTTCCTCTGGTAGCTCTATTCACTGAGAATGACTACTCAATATTTGATTGTGTCAAGTCCTGCACATTTGGGAGGTAGAGGGTATGCTTGGTTTTTCTAAATGTTACGCCTCAACATTATATTTGAAGTTTAGATATTTGAAAGAGGGAAAAGGAAATCTTCAAGCAGAGTATATAAAGTGAAATTTTAAGGTAGAAATGGTAATTATAATATAAAAATTAAAATTTACCAAGTGCCACTATGAATCAAGTATCTTACCCACATGTTATGAATATCCATTAATAGTATCAATTTTATGGTAAAAAAGAAAAACCTGAGTCTCAAAGAGGTTCCACGCACCTCCACAGGTACAACTAGAGGCTGAGAAGAGTTTCAAATCCAAAACAACTTGGTTCCAAAGCTTATGATTTTTCTACCATACAATGGTGCCTCTCAAGGTACAGGAAGATCTATGCAGTTGAGTGTGTGTGTGTGTGTGTGTGTGTGTGTGTCCCACTAATATGGATGTTACAAGAAGAATAATATGCTTTGAATCTAGATCCAAAGTTTACATTCATTTATCCTTACTTTACCTTTTGCTTTAAAGAATTCTCTCAGCACATGGACTGGTATGTATTATATCTTGAAAGCAGAAACTGTAAGAGAGATCTAATCCTACAACTGTATGTCTAATTTGTGAGGTTATATATGTTAACCCTTGTGCCAAATTACACAATAAAAAATTACAGATTAAGAGTAAACAATAAAAATGCATTTTTTGCCAATTCTTGAGTAGCTAGAATGTATAAATTACACAGTATAGAAGTGGAACAAACCAAACATCAAAAAACAGAATTCTAGATAAATATCTGCAATAATGTGTATGACTAGTACACAAATATTTATGTTTCTTTTTGACAGTCCAAGATGCATTCATGCAGCCCCCTTTTCTGGACTCTGGGGAATAGAAAGTAAACATGTCTACTTGAATGGATTGGGTTTACCCTACAGTTAACAAAAGGCAACAAAACTCAGACACAAAATTCATAGGCAACATCTGTAAAAGCAAAACAAAAACAGTGCAGCTCTTAATTACCCATACATGTAAGTCTGCCTTTCCTGTGCAGATTCTTAAGACAATTTTGCAAGGAGTTTAAGAGGACATGTCAGAATCATCCTTTCTGACTGTATTCTGGCTCTGGCATTCCCTCACTAGAGGATCACAGGCAAGTTATTTAACTTTTCTCAACTTCTTCATTTGTATAATGAGGTTGTTTTGAAAATTCAATAAGAAGATATTGATACAGAACCTAGAACAGTACCTAGTAAACACTAAGTAAATATTAGTTATTTTTCATACCACTTATTGTGCTCCAAGTAATCTTTCCTGGTATATGGCCTTTCTATTTCTTCTAAGTCAGCTTGGGCAGAGATAAAGTCTTAACAAAGAAACATCTTATATTTAGATTTTCCTTTATTATTTAAATTAAGACGTTTAAATTACCCATTGTCACCTCCCATTTAAGCAAAGTTATGAGCTCTTTAAAAAGTGTACTTTTTCTCTCTTAAAGTAGTACTTCCATTATTCTGGAGGAGACATTTTGTTTTATTTTATTATTATTATACTTTAAGTTTTAGGGTACACGTGCACAATGTGGAGGTTAGTTACATATGTATACATGTGCCATGCTGGTGTGCTGCACCCATTAACTCATCATTTAGCATTAGGTATATCTCCTAATGCTATCCCTCCCCCCTCCCCCCAGCCTACAACAGTCCCCAGAGTGTGATGCTCCCCTTCCTGTGTCCACGTGTTCTCATTGTTCAATTCCCACCTATGAGTGAGAACATGCGGTGTTTGGTCACAATAGCAAAGACTTGGAACCAACCCAAATGTCCAAAAATGATAGACTGGATTAAGATATTTTCTATTCTAGTCATAAATGACATCAGAAGAGACTTTGGAAGGAAGATACCATGGTATTGAAAAATTTCTTAGACCACGCTTTACACTCTGATTAAATTTGAAATGAGCCAGGGCTGCTCATTTACAAGCAACAGTGAAAAATAAAATGCATTCTGTCAGTGTGGCAGTCAGACAATCTCTTGATGCTGAATTTATCAGACCTCTAGATCTAATTGTCAATAAACAAGAAGTGCAGAGGACAGAGGAACACTCAAACTACACCAGGGAGATGCAATCTGCGAAATCCAGAGAGAGGAAGATGCTACAGGATACACAGCCTGATTTCTTCAACAAATTATAAGTCAAAGAATGAGATGGGTGAGGTATAGGTTAAAAGCTATTTAAGACACAAGTCTATCATTCAAAATGCATACACTTTATTTGAATTCTAATTAAAATAAACATATTGCCAAAAATACGACATTATGAGAGAAATGCAAATTTGAATACTTTCTGGATATTTCACAGTATTAAGATGTTTTCAAAGATACGATAATGATAATGTGTTTATATTAAAACAAAGAATCCTTTTAATTTAGTGCTACAATATATATTAATTTATATGAATGTGAAATTTGTTTAAACATAGTAGGAATGAGGAGGAAAATAAGTGAGGTGTAGATAAAACAAGATTGGCCATGAGTTAATAATCGTTAAACGTGAATGACGAGTACATAAGGGCTCTTCATATAATTTTGTTTATTTTTGCATATGTTTAAAAGTTTCCATACTAAAAGTTTAAGAGTAAGGAATAACTTCTGATCTCAAAACAATGCAACAAATGAATATGTAAAAAATATTATTTTAAATTTAGAGGATTGTCTAGTTTCATCAATTACAGTTTCAAAGCACAATTGAGGGTGGAAAATCTAAAACATTCTATGCTGATTTTTTTTAGGCTACAATTCTAGTGTGTCATATTTTTCTGATTTTCCTCCAATATTCCTGGGTGGCAATTTTGGAATAGTACTGGGAGAGAGAATTTTTCTATAGCTCTCTGGATGTTATTGATACATATTTAGCAATAGAAACTACCCATGTATAATATAGTTAGGTGTCCAAATGTACCAAAGCACTTTTTGTATATTACTTTTCTATTTTGTTTCAATAATATACTCAATGCATATGTTGAAAATGCACTCCGGAACAAAAAATGTTATTTCATAATTTTCAATAATTTTAAATTGTCAATTACTAAAATTTTTGCTGGAGAAAAAGATTAGAAGTGAGATTTGATGGAACTCATCCAAACATGTTTTCTGTAAAAAAATCAATCTTGTAGTATAGTTTTAAATATCTGAGACTAAATTCATAGAAAGGAAAAGTTGAAGAATGCTATATCTTATTTAATTTATTGCTCAAAATGCAAAGTTTTATAGAAGGTTAAGAGTAAACACTGTCATTTTATGGAAAATTTTAACTTTGTTTCTAATCAATTAAAATTTGAGAAAAATTTGTCCTTATTATTCAGACACATATAAATCTTATTTTAAAAATAGTATTAACTAGTTTCTTATTGTTGCTCTAACAAATTACCACAAATCTAGTGGATTTAAACAACACATATGAATTATCTTACTTTTCAGGTCAGAAGTCTGAAATGGGTTTCACTGGGCTAAAATGCAGGCATCAGCGAGCCTGTGCTCTTTGCTGGGGCTCTGAGGGACAAGTTGATTTCCTGCCTTTTCCAGCTTATGTTGCTGCCTGTTTTCCTTGGCTTGTGGCCCCCTTACATTTTCAAAGCCAACAATGGCCAAATGAATCTTCCTCACATTGCATCACTTTGACACTAACTCTGTTACCTCTCTCTCCAATGTTTATGGCTTTTACAATTACATTGAATCCACAAGATAGTACAGGATAATCTTCCTATTTTAAAATCAGCTGATTAGTAGGCTTAAATTTATTATACCTCAATTCCTCTTTGCCACATAACCTAACTTATTCACAAGTTACAGGAATAAAGATGTGGACACAGACATCTTTGTGAGGGACATTATTCTGCCTATAACATAGCCCAACTGAACTATAATTAGGAAGGCTTTGTTTCATAAATACTTATTTTTCACATATTTTTACATTTCTATTTTACTGGTAGGAAAATATGGCTGCTTGGAATTGGTAGTGATGCTTAGTTCTTTCAAGTGACTCAAATAAAAGAGCTATAGAAGCCACTTTGAATGCATATTCAAACCCTGAAGAAATGTTTACTGATGTATTCAAGTGACACCTATAGTTTCAAAACATTGAACAAAGTACAGTGGACTGAGGAATACCCTTACCTCAGCAGCATTTGTTTATGACTTAGGCATAATGTATGATGCAGTTTCTGGGTTGTGTGATTTACCCAAACATCTGAAAGAAAGACATAACTTTGCCAGAAGCCTATTCTGAGGTGTCAAAGCAGATTCAGGTCTTTGCATCAATGGCTGACAATCTTGGATCTTTTGCGGAAGAGGCTGTCAGAGCTTTTCAGAACCTGCTCTTTTAACAAAATTCACAACACAAAATAAAATGTCTTAAAAGAAGCCATGGAGAAATTCCCATTAGTCCTCAAGATAAAATGACCAAAATTATACATAACAGAATCCTTTAAGAATATTATTTTTTCTAAGATAAATGTATGCAAAGTCATAAACTATATCAGAGATTAACATGTCTTCCGAAAACCATTTTGATACTGAAACCAAGAAGGGTACAGTTGCACTCCAGCCCACTTTCTTATTTGGATAATCACAGTACCCTACAGCATTTGGATTTTTAGATGTAAGTCATAATGATTGCTTTCTGAAAGACACTTCTTACATGAACTTAATGATGAGCCCCTAAAGTACTTGCATTTCAATGGTAGCCTCTGCAGATCATTTGGTGAAGTATAATATAGAAACACATTATGTTTAGCTAAACTCATATTAAACATTCAATATATGAGTAAGACACAAAGTAGCCTAATGGATTTTAAACTAAATTTAGAAGCCTAATTTAACATCAGAAGTCCTCTTCATAGTAAAGTCTAAATCATCTGTCGGAGTGTTCCAAGGTCCGTTTATTTTTTCTGTTTTTTTTTTTTTTTTGAGAAATCTATTTCATACTAAGAAAACGCACTTCTTTGCGTATAGCCATGCTAGCTATTGATTAAAGATAATTTAAGAAAAATGTCATTCAATGTAATGGATACATTCGAACTAATTCAACCTTTTGCCTCCCTAGTTCTTTGAATGGTACCACAATTCTTTCAGTTTCTGAGGTGCAAAAACATCACCTGTCTCCCATTTTCCCATCTCATCTTCCCATCTAATCTCCAGATGTAACAATAATAAAAATAATGATGATCACTGTCATCTATATTCAATACATAAAGTTATACATCCTCTTCAGGGCTTACAATATTTCAAAATGAATATGAAATATTTCAGTAAGCAACTTGGCCAAGGCCATATACCTGGTATGTATTGTACTTAAAATTCAAATGCATGAGGTCTGTTTTGTTCAAAGTATAAGCCAGTTCCATGCCTCTACTCCACCAAGTCATATTAGTCATTTTTCTGAAGCTGCCTGTATTGGTTCCTTCCTTTCCAGTCTTGTTACTTCATGCCCTTGTCCAGGCCTTCATCACCTCTTATTTAGACTCCTGAAATTGCTTCTCAACTAGTTTCTACATTTCCAATATTTCATTCCTTAAAAGTAAAATTAAACAACTTTGATCATGTCCATTCCCTGCTCAAAGCCTCTAATGGTGCCACATAGCCTAGAGGTGGGTTTCCAACAGGCTGATCACAGACTTTCATCAGATGGATCATGAAACCACACTGCCACATTCTTTGCCACTTCCTCCTCTTCAATGTTGTGATTCACACATTTGAAATGCACAGGGAGGGCTGCCATACCAGTCACTTTCTTGCATTTCAAATGCCCCAGATTAAAGAGAATATGAATGACTAGGAGCTTTCAGCATGTCCCTCTTCACTGCCACATCCCATTCATTAGGGGGAGCTGGCTAGAAACCACACAAATTGAAATACCAAAGCCTGCCTGCAAATTCCTAATTCTTCCCTTGATCCTTGTGGTTTTCTGACAGAATGTTCCTTTTATCAAAATATCTGTTACCTTCTCAATTTCTCTCCTGAACAAATACTCAAAATACCACTGCCCAATTTGAAATTCATGCTCACAAAATTCCAGAGATGTCAGTCTCTTAGATGTAATGCAAACTCCCTACCCTGTATTCAAAGTTCTTCATAATTTGACCCATCTCCCATTTAGTCTTATTTCCACTACTTTTCAACATTCACGCTGACTCCAGCCATCTCTGGCTACTCTTTCATGATCCTACAATCATCCATATACATTCATACTATTATACATGCATTCAAAGCATTTCTCCTACCTAGTTACCTGCATTGTTATTTATTTACCTGAATATCAAACAATTTTCTCCACTCAACTAACTGTATAGAATAGAGAACTAGGACTTCCAGGGAACAGTGAGTTATTGGCCCGAATAACCTCTTTAATCTAATGCTGAGAACATTGCTCAGAATGATCATCCCCTACTAAGAACTCCTTATCCATAAACTTGATGACACAGTTTCAGCATTGCAGAGCTTGAAAAACTAGAGATAATTTCATCCAGTCCTCTCACTTTTCATTCAACTAACATATAAAATTCCTTACATTGGTATTTATGTATGTTTCGTGTATTTTGTATGTTTGTGTGCTTTATTTCTTAAACTAGATCCCTTCCTTGAGGGAGGAAACATGTCTTATGTGTCTTTGTGCTTCCTAATGGTAGATATTTATTTGATACATATTTACTGGATGACAAATTCAAGATGACTAAAGTGACTAAACTTTACCAGGATTTACGTAAAGTATAATCTCATTTAAGAGGGTACTGTGTTCAAAATTAAATGTGGAAACGGCCAAGGGGGAAAAAAGCACATAAAAATAAATTCCACATTTTCTCCAAAAAAAAAAAAAAAATTCTGGGCACAGGAAATATACTAGAGAAAATATATGAATAAAGGGTAAAAAAATCAAAAATTTCTCATTTGGCTAATTTTTTCTAATGACTTTCCGTAAGACCACAGAATAACATACAAATAAAACAGTAAGATGGCTTCAGAAAAATTCCAAGTATAGTACAGGATCTGCAAACACAAATTTTTAAAAATGCAGTCTCTTTATGACAGTTAAAATTTTAACAAAGCCACACACTAAAAATTCTACAAATAGTTATCTATAATTTTCACTAAATGGCTTATTTTAAACAAATAGTTGCTATTCTAAGGTGAATTAATTAGGAACTATATTTGTTGTCTTTGGATGTACAACTGCAGTCAAGTCATGAGTAAAGTTTATTAAAGCTTGATGATATTTTCAACAGTGCTTCAGGCTCTGTATTCAATCCAAATACACATATACCAAAAATATCTATCTCTATTTCAAGTTTTAAGTCTCAAAAGGGTATAATTGTGCTTTAATTACTCAAAGTTTTGTTAAATAAACACTAAAGAGTTTGATTGCCAAATGTATTATCTTAGAAAGAAAAAGAGACTGATATTTTAAGACAGAGAGTTCCTAATATTAAAAATCAACATATAACTATACGCCTACCATCACTGGATTTTTAAGTATGGTCTGTGGGGTAGGAGCTTCCCTTCCTGTAAGCCAGGCTGTGGGGAATTCAGAAAAGTGAACTGTGCTTGGGACAGAGGGGCAAAGAAAAGAGTTGTCCAGCTCTCCTGAGGCCAGGGGAACAACTGCTATTGCAGCCACCAGATGAATAGGCTGTGAGTTTTGGCTGGGTGATCTTTTGAGTCATTCCCACTTCCTCTATCTGAACAACAGTTAGACTCTCATGCTCAGTGTTTCCTTTTTGTTCAAACATTCTACATGCCAAAAAACAAGGCCAGGTACACCAATATTGCTTGACCTGAGGAGTTTTAATAGAGTGACTCTATTACATAATATTCCAAAGACACTTTCAAAAGTTCTTTTTAAAAATCAAATGTGTCACATGTACACCATGGAATACTATGCAGCCATAAAAAAGGATGGGTTCATGTCCTTTGCAGGGACATGGATGAAGCTGGAAACCATCATTCTCAGCAAACTAACACAGGAACAGAAAACAAACCACCACATGTTCTCACTGGTAAGTGGGAGTTGAACAATGATAACACATGGACACAGGGAGGGGAACATCACGCACTGGGGCCTGTTGGGGCATGTGGGGGCTAGGCGAGGGAGAGCATTAGGAGAAATACCTAATTTAGATGACGGGTTGATGGGTGCAGCAAACCACCATGGCACGTGTATAGCTATGTAACAAACCTGCACGTTCTGCACATGTATCCCAGAACTTAAAGTATAATAATAAAAAGTTAGAAGTCTTTATTTGTGACACTGTATTTTCAAAATAAAATGTTAATCTACCTGCAAAAAAAAAGAAAAAATATCGAATGTGATCATTCTTATGGCCAAAAGGATACATGTGTGGAATTTATATTTTTAACAGACTGCCATATTTGAAAATTCCAATCTTTCATCTGTATTTGCTCTACCTGGTATTGTGCGAGTGAGTAGAGACACATGGATGGACAAAACATGGTTTCTTCCGTTAGACTCATAGCCTAGTGGGAGAAAACAGTTAAGAACACAAATTACAATAAAACACAGTGGTAGCGGAACACTCAGGATTCTATGGGAACTGAAATCAGGTGTGCTTCATAACTGAGATTTTGGAAGGCTTGCACAAGGCAAAGGGTCACTTGGAGCAAATCTCAACAGATGAACAAAAAAATGGGGCAGGGAGGTGGAGATAAAGGGAAAGGATAGGCTTCTAAGAGGCAGATATCAATACATGCAAAGTATAGTAAACACCATAGTGTATATTGCAACAGACAGGAATTTACTCACAACTATAGAACACACAGAAAATGTAAGCTTTAGAATTTTTTAAACGAATTTTCTTTTGCTCTGGACGCCTCCTTTCTTCCCTATCATTTTCACTGGAGAGTAGAAAGAATACTGAATAAGTTCTAAATAAGCCCCCGCTGCCTTGACATAAACTGGGTCTCTTTGGAGAAGCTTGTATATTTCAAGGTTTCTTCACCCTTCTTCGTCTTTGTTTCTCCTCTGGTAGCCTCCAGATGGCACAAGGAAAGCTCATGTAATTTCATCGTGGAAGGAAGGGGTGTCCTGCCTCTGTGTGGTCCTTCTCTACAGGATTTTACTGATCTCCACTTGAGATGTCATTTTATTGACTGATATCTGGATGTCATCCAGCTGCAATAACTTGTGGGAATTCTTTTTGTATGGACTAGTGTGTGTGTGAGTGTGGCTCCTGGAGAAAGCAGCTGTTCCTCCCGTCAGCCCCCCGACATGGCTTAGCCCCCTGAAACTCAACTCTGTCTTCCTTTGGCCAATGATTCTGGAGAATCTGCCTTTGCACCACCACATGGTGGCTTTCTCTTGGCTGACACACTCAGATACTCTCTGAGACTCCCATAGCATCCCATGACAACCTCTGAATCTCTTTCATGACATTTGGAGGCCATGAGAAATAAGGGATGTCAGGCTCTCTCACACTCTCTACCTCGCCCTGCCCCAATTTCTGCTCGGATTCAGGTCCACATATTGGTACAGGGACTGAATCAGATAACTTGAAATTTTCTCAGTGTATGATCTTGAGGTCCAGAGGAACTAGCTCTGGAGTTACTTCAAAACATTCTCATTGTTTGGCAGACTTCACTGGAGTGGGTGGAGAGGTCAGGAAACAAGACATTCCTGGAAAAAACTGATTGTCCTGCTCTCTCTCTCTCTCCTAGATAAAAGGAAAGCTCTCTATACCCTTCCTGTTAAAGAAGGATTTCCTTTGTATTACATTTATTATTTTCTTTATATTCTCTCATCTTTGCCTTAAGAGAAAAAAGACTGCAGGAAAATAAAAAAGAAAGATGTTTGCTGAGAAGGGAAAATGTATTAGGAAATATTTCAAAAAATATTTCCCTAATTAAACATATTTGGGGAATTACATGTGGTTTGTGTAGTGGCCATTTAATTCCTAAAGGCACAGATCTCTGAATTTGGAAATAATGTACCCAGGCTTTTTCAGCTGATACTACAAACGGGAAAACAGCTTTACCAGTGACATATTTTCTTGATTTAGGAAGGTGGGTTCGTGGTTCAGAACAGAAGCTCTGAAGCCACATTATCTGGGCTCAAAGTTCATATCCACCACCTATTTATTGTGTATGCTTGGGAAATTTACATTACTTCTTTTTATGCTTTAGTTTTCTCATCTGTAGAAGAGCAAAAGCAATACTTCCTACTTTGGATAACTGTTGTGAAAATTTATTAATTGTGTATATTAAAAAAAAGAGTGGCTGGCATGAAGAAAAAAACTAAAAATGCTGGCTTTATTAACATTCATGAAAATTAAACTTACTGTTTTCTAATCTGGTGAGAAAAATTCATCATGACCCATGGTGAATATGCATATATATAACTAATCCTTCGCCACTAAAGTTAATCTTTGAAATTTTAGCCATTTTTCTTTTAGCAGAATAGAAACAGATAAACACCATGTTAAATCTTATCACTATTTAGGCATGCAATCTAGAAAAACATGACTGAGTTAAGTCTGCTAGATTTTAGATAATCACCATATATGCTTATTTACCTAAAAGGCAGCAGCCACACAATGCTTTCATTTTCTCTTTATTCCATTTGAAAATAAATTATTTCCTTGATGTGTATTCGTGACTTTTGTTGGAGTTCACGGAAACCTTGAGGTCAAGCCAGAAGGCAAAATTTGGCCTTAAGTGAAACTAAGCAAGATACCAGGACAATTTGTTCTCTCTTAATCATATAGGACAACTTGAACAAGTATCATTATTGAATAGCTTGATCCCTAGATGCTACTATAACTGTTGAGGCACCTTGAGGTTATCCTGCAAATTATATTTTAATGAAGATCCGAGTATGACTTGATTTGTCCATGATTATAGTTTAATTTCTCTTTACTACTCCATTTGATGCATGGATTTGATTTTTAAGTTAGCCAATATTTTTTCATCAGCAAAGTATAAGAAATTGTTTGTGACAACTCTTTTTTAGGCATGTTGATCTCTGAAAAATCTAGAAATTTATTTAATGAAATGTCAATTTGGAAGGAAATGAAAAAACTTAAGAGCCATTCAAAAATGAACAAGGAAAAAATGTGGTAATAAACCCCTATGATGTTTACTATTTTAAAGGCAAAAAAGTGACATAATTTACTTTAAAATGTTTAATGTAAATAGTGAATGATAAATGCCAATACAAAAGGCTAAAATAAATATTGCATACCAAAGATATTTTGCAGTTAGAAAAATAGACACGATACCTGCATTATCTTTAACAGAATTCAGCAAACTAGAGCGCTCCAACTATAAACAATAAAAGGCACTAAAATATGTGAAGCCAAACTTTAAACTTGTAATTGCTGGAAAAATCTACATTATTTCTGAAGAACGGATGATTTGCTGAATAAAAGATTTACTAGAAAGAAGTAGCCTCATGCACACTTAAAGATGTTTAAGCGTGATAAAGTTCTTTTATTCTCCCAAAGAGTAAGGAAATTCTCAGATTTGACACAGCAGGTTTAGAGTAGATTGTGAATAAAATGAACTTTCTTGTCTCTGAATCTTTCTTTTATATTTTGTAAGTGCCATCATAAGCCTTTGGGAAAGCTTTGTTTTTGCTAACATGAATACTGGAAATTGCTGTGTATATAAACGGCATAAAGATAATAGTTCCAATTCTTGAGCAACAGATCACTCTTACTAATAAAATTGATCAATGCATTAGAAGTTACAATATATAGCTCTACATTCAGTAGAAATAATCACACGTAAGTGTTTTTGAATGACTGGATGAAGAAAAGAACAATTATAGGTGGTAAAATGTAGTACCAAAATACAGATTTTTGTATTTGAATCAGACAAAGAAGGTAATTAAAATAAATGAAGCAACTTATTTAAATATTTATAAGCAACTTCCAAAAATTGGGACTCTAGAAATAAAAAATATTCTTGGATACTTCCATTTCACCATCAAAAGGCTGTCACTAACATCCTATTTAATGAAACAGAATGGGCCAATGGAATATTTGTTTGAACAATAACTTAAGACAAAATTTTGATGAATTTCTTAGTGTCTATAATATACTGAGAATTTGCCTATAACTTCCAAGTGGTCTGGGCACTCATTAAAACATGAGACCATCGGAGTTTACTGAACTGGTATTTTATCTTCCCCTTCTCCATCTATGGCTCTACTGTTTTTGTAGTCCTACTCCCCAAAAGTAGTTAGAATGCAGTATATAAATGAATGCTCTAATAAGACATCTTATATTAGTTACAATTTTCACTTCCAACTGCCCATGTATTTGCCTTGTTTATTCCTCTATAACTTTATGTATTGTTTTCAAACCCCCAACAAACATATAGCAATATACCTGTCTGTCATAAACTTTCTTCTAAAAGCAGCCAGTCTTATACATCAAGTATTTCCCATGCTGTGAACATCTATTTCCAAATGAGGTTAGGACAAATGAAGGTATAAATATAAATGTGACAATGTCAATCAGAAACAATCTTATAAAAGAAGCTTAGGAGCAAAAAAAATCCGGATTTTACTTATCTCAAAGTCATTCGCTTAAAAATATTATTTTATTAGAAATTGTACAGAAATACTTTATAACCTGAGGAAATATAAGACAAGATTTTAAATTTACAACATATAACAATAATAGCGAATCTCACAGAGCAACAAAATATTTAGCAGCGGTACAACTTTTCAAATGACCAGCTGACAGGAAGGTGTAGATACAGGCACAGACAAAACAATGAAACCATTTTGTTATGCACATTTATGTGCATTCAAACCAGAAAAAAAGTAAATAAAAGAGCAATGCAATCTGCAGGAATACACATTTTTAACATTTTCTTATAATCTTAAATAATCTACATTACACTCAATTTATGTGGAAAAGTCACTATGTGGTTTCTAAACAGAAATGTACTTGCCTATTATCCAAAGGTTATCACTTTTTAAGCATGTAAAAATTAAGGTTTTAAAAATGTTTCTTAAACTCATTTTATTAAAACAGTCAAAAACAATAAGAATTATTTCATTGGCCAATCACTCTAACCTTACCCTGTATATTACAGCTTGGGCTAACCAATCAAAATGCAAAATATTAGCAAGGTCATAGTAGTATAACAAAACATACTACTATATTTCACAGATTACAAAAGACATTAAAATTCTGATACCCCATTCATAAGGAAAAGATTGTAATGAGAATAGAAAATGGCACAACATTAATTCATTGTGTGACAAAGAATATAATGAGAATGGGAAATAGTACAAACATAACTCATTCTTGTTACAGTTTTAAGATTGTAATGTCATGGTTCATATCACATACTTAGCAAGTAGGTGGTAGCCAACGTGTTGCAATATTCAATGGCTATTCTGAATTTAGTGAGAGCATTATTATATGTATCTATATAGATATATAATATTTTAAAACTTTCAAATTTGGGAAGGAGCGTATTTAAAAATTAAATAATGTTGCTAAAAAGCTTCATTTGAAAAGATAGCATGTGTATGATTAAAATGTGAAGAGTGTCATAAATCCAGTAGACAAGTGAAAATATGAAACTAAAATGTGCTGTTGGATACATTCAAATTAATATTTTAAAATAGAATAAAATATATTGGTAAGCAATTACCTTAAATCATTTTATAAAGCAGTGCATGATTTTATAAAATATGCAACTATTACATTGCAAAGTCAGGGAATGTTTTCAGAGTGGTTGCAACTCTTCACTTGATAATCAGTTCTGCTCTCTGGCTATTCTAAAAAGAACAAATATGCCCCCATAAGAACTGGAAGTAATATTCTAGTAACTATATAACACTGGGAAAGTAAAGTTTGTATTTTGCGATAAAAATATTATGTTTAATTGCAATATAAATAGTCTAATGAGCGCTTGTGATCAGGAAAATTTTTTTTAAAGCTCTAAAAAGTTGCTTTTAAGCAATTACAAAAATAACCAGTGACAACTCCACTTCACCAACTTTAAAAATTATCCACACACATAGAAGGGCATTTTATGGATTATCACAGACATTTCGTGTATGTGTGTGTATACTTCAAAGTGCATTCCCTTGTCGATTCTGCTTTTTAATTACATAAGCAGTGGTTAATATTAAGATTAGATTTGAACTTATTTGCATTCCTTAAATAAATATCCAATAACATGCTGGGATGTGGGGTCAAATTTAATTAACCCAGGATTTTAAAATTGACATAAATTATCCCAAAAATAGATAACCCACACATTTTTAATTGAGTAGTTGGCATGGGAATATTCCACATTTAAACATCTTTAGTTTATGGGGAAACTTGAATACAAAAAGAATTTTTGTGAAATGAATAATTACCTCTGTTAAAAATGTGTTCAATGGAGAAAAAATTGCTACTTCCATTATTAAATCAAAATTTAACCTAAGAACCCGTTCAACAACATATTTACTATCTTTTACAAGATATAATTAAATAATGCTTTTAAAAAAATAGTTTACAAAATTTAAAGTTCTTATAACTTTCAAGATTTCACTGATTATTTGGTACCCTAAAATAATATTTAAAATAACAATCTGTTCTATAAATTAAGTTTCTGTATGATACCTGATAATAACATGGAAATATAGACAGAGATAGTTTTACTGGATGTAAGTAAGGCTATTATTCATTAATTGGATAGGTTGTAAAACTGTTTCTTAGTGAAACTAACTAGTTTGGGAGGATAGTATATCTTAATGGATTTTAAAGGAGACTTTAGAATTTAGGAATTACATTGTCCAAAACTAATTGTGTATCTAATGGATGAGTAGGATCTCTTTCTCAGCAACTCACTCTATGGCACAAAGAACTCATATCCATGTTAATTGCCCCCAGTGATTGTGGTTTTAAAGAAAGTGAAGGAAACCTGAAGAATTCTATGTTGCAAAGTCTTGTCAAAATGATCTCAAAGTCCATACAGATTCCAAAAAGTGAGATGATTCCAATACTTAACATGCCCATTTAGAAAAATAAATTATTTGGTCCAAAAATGTTAAACAAAAAAGAAAGTATACTAAGCTTAATTACATTGAATGTAAACAACCGTGGATTCTCAGGTCAGTTGACGCTAAAGGACAATTTTGATGTGTAATTACAATGCCTACAAACAGACATGCTTTCTGTTTACTAATTTTGAGTGTTTTCAATTTGCCATGGACAATTGGACAATTGCTTTGTATTGCAAAATTTCCTAAGATTTTAGTTCTAGTTTTCTTAATTTTTCCAAATAAAAGTCTCAAGATAAGTTAATTCAATGCAGAAAACAATGTGAGTCTTTCTTAACCATGGAATACTGTACTATAGTTTATGCACATAAGCAGTTTTATGTATCTAACATGACTCTGGCTCTTTAACTTTTAACGTACCAATTAAGATGTTCAAACCTCAGATTTAAATAGCTGTCTATGACTGCTGACAGTTGATTTATTTCCTGATAATCATGGGAGCTGCTAAGTAAAAAAAACAGAGAAAGCTTCTCTTAAAGAACACTGATATTCTGCCTAGCACTTGCTGAATTCTAATTCTGTGATTACGATGGAGAGAAGAGCTAAAATCTGAACACATTGCTCTCTTTCTTGAGAATTGTTTTTCATCATCTAACAAACACTTTTGACCATTATAAATATGTCAACCATTGCATAGGATCTGGAATTCAATACTGAACTTGTGATACTGAGATAGAACATATACTTCAAGTTTTTAAAATTTCAGCTAGGATATGAAGGTGATAGTGCTGATAAATCAATTTTTCATAAGAAAGTAAAATGTATTCATTCTCTGTGGTAGGCACAATGATGGCCTTCCAAAGATGTCCACATCCTAATCTCCAGAACCCACAAATGTCTACCTTACATGGCAAAGGAGAGTTTGCAAGTGTGATTAAGTTAAAGATCTTGAGGTGGGGAGATTATCCTGGATGATCAAGGTGGGATTAATATAATCACAAGGATCCTTAAGAGTAAAAGTGGGAGACGGCAAAGTCAGAAAGAAATTTGAAGACGCCATGCTTCAGGCTTTGAAGATGGGAAAAGGGGCCGGGGGAAAAGAAATACAGGTGGCTGTTAGAAGCTGGAAAAGGGAAGAGAACAAATTATCCTCTAGAACACAGCCCTAATGACACCTTAACTTTAACCAGGTAAAACCCATTTCAACGTCTAATCTCTATAAGATAATAAATTTGTCTTACTTTAAGCCACTAAGTTTGTGGCTGTTATAGCAAGAATGGGAACTAATACTACCTCCAATATTTATTTTAAAAGACTTTTTAAGAGCAAGTTTCAACATACATCACTTTTAAACCATGCAAACTGGTAAGATTATATTTTTAACTAAAATTGTGCAATAGCAATATCATAACTTACCCCTGCAAAAAAAGTTTTTGCCATTTATGGTTGAAAAATTCTTACTTAGAGCTCAAAAAGTGATTTCAAGTTAGATGTATATTTAAATGCCTTTCCTCTGAAAATGTTTCCATTTCTTATGCAGCACAGTTAATGAAAGACAACACAATAACGGAATAAACCAACTAAGTAACAAAAATTTTATTTTTACTTCTTCTGTAGATGGTTCCTATGATGAAGAAGCCTTACTATCTTACTTATTCATTTGCTGTAATAATCCTTGGCAAATACATCTCATCACCTGATTATACCCTTGGTAAATTTCCTTATTTTGCAGTCTTTATAGAGGAAGGATACCCATCACCATAAATCTTAAATATCTTTGCAAGTACAAGTGAAAATACAAGCCCATATATGTTAACAGCTGTACAACTGCCTCTTGGGATAAATGTATTATAGATGTAGAACAGTCGTAATGGCACTCACGATCTCATTTTTCCCATTTCATAGGTTTTATACCTGTGCCATCTGGGCAATACACCTGGATGTATGACAGGATCCTTACAAGGCCTGGCTTTCTAAATCACCTTTTCTGGCCACTGATTTTTGTGGAGTTCTTTTAATTTTTGTTTCACACTAAACCTAAGTGTCTTATATAGATTGTGATGCATATAAACATTAGTATTAGAAGGAAGCATATTTTGTTGTGATTTAAAAAAACATGGGATTTAGTTTTATGAGATACAAATCAATGAGATCATGCATTTTCTTTTAGTCTCTTCATTAACAAGGAGACTTTGGCCAAGTCATTAACTAATCTCTGCACATTTCCTCATCTTTCTGAAAACTAAAGAAACAATTGAGATTATTGTTAGGTTTAAATGAGATAAATGTACCTGGAAGGGAATATTTTTGAAGTGATATTTACATAATTTGTTTTATTGTTTAATTAGTGATATTTATTCAAATGAAATACAATGTAGTTGAATACAAAAAATACTTTTATTCCTTTTACTCCTTTTCAATTTTTCTTTCATTTTTATTCCTCATTGACTGTTTTTTTCCCTCATCCAGCAATTGCATTACTACCATGTCATTATTATACATATTTTGGGTAGAAAAATTAGAGTAGGTAGAACAGAGGTTGGTGTTACTCAAGTCAACGTAAATTCACCATAAAATCGTTCTTCATCTATTCTTGCTACCTTCTTTTGAGAGAGGCAACTCTGTGACTTTCAAAGCTTATCTTGTCTGAAGAAATGTCTAGTGCATCATATGATTATTATAATTGCATCCTCATGTCAATGACAGTATTCCTGGTAATGACAAAGTCATTTATTTTAACACAGTTGGTCTGTCCTGTTCTTGCCCTCTTTTATTTGGGTGCTCCTACTCTTCTGTAAAGTCTTTGCATCTTCTGGTTCCCAGTGTCTTCAAACCTCTTAACATGCAGGGACACCACTTGATTGTCCTCCCAAGCAATCTTCCTAGAAGCATTCTCTTTTTACTCTTTTCCCCAGAATAGCTGCATTAACACATTCTGCTGGAGGAGATTCACTCTTCAAAATTCTAATTGATTAACATAAAAATATGGCTTATGAGTTATGTCAAATCTCATTTCAAGTCTTGGTCCTGGCATGGCATATGACCTAGTTTTTCCCTACTGGAAATGATTTCAATAAAAATGAATGTTCTTTAAGTTCTAGAGATAAGACACAATAGTGAGTGGTGAAAAGTAATACTATTAACAAATCATGGTTTTGTTAAATATGTGGAGGGAAGGTGGGCAAATGAAAAACTGAATCACCATCACTTGTATTGAAGTATAGGTACATATATACACATTTTAAATTCGGCTTTCCAAAAATGTATTCACAGAAACACCACCATATAGCATTTCAAATGTGCATCTTCCGGGTATGATGCTTCTGTGAGGGTCAGTACTGACACCACGGTTTTGTCTCTCTGACCCACTGGCTGAGTGTGCAATTGCTGCTCATCCTCTTAGGCATTTGGCAACTGTAACGCCACAAAGGAACCAGACAACCTTTCTCCTCATTATGTGCAGTTAAGTTTATCTTTGCGAGTGTTATTTGTAAGAAAGGCAGCAGGACTGGGAAACAAACCAAAGAAAATAATGTTAGCATAAATGCTTCAAAGGAGACATGTGTTGCTAATGGTTTTTCAGAAACCATAGGGAGTGAGGGAGTAACACTTCCACTCCATTGAGCTGGCTTAATTTTTTCAAACCATGTGAACTATTTGAAGAGCTTTATAGAATTTCACTTCTGAATCAGGACTTTGCTACTTTAAAAGTGGCTGTTACTATTCTAATAGTCAGCATGAATGACAATAAGAAAATACAAAGAAAAACATTCAAGACGTAACTTCTGGAAATGCATCTGCCATTTTCATGGTGGTCAGGCACACATCCAGGGCAGCAACCATTCTTCCATGGTGATAAATATAAAAGATGACTTTGAGGAAAACTATGCATGTAGATGAGGATCACACTAGGACAAAGTCATAATTTTACATATAGCTTAGGAAGAAGGTCGTAGTTCAAATTTTCCTCCTTTTAAATGGATACCCATCATCCAAATAAGTTCTACAAATCATTTCTAAGCAAGGGGGAGAGAGAAAATTACTTTTACTCAACATTTAGTGTTATTACAGTATCTTTAATTTAGGTGAGGTCAGTTAACGGGACCAATAAATGTGAATCTTTTGTGTGTGGTGTGTATACTTCATATAAATTACATGAAAATTTCCTGTTTATCAGCAAGAGATTTGTACCCATTTTATAAAATATGTATAAGGACATCAGATGAGATGAAATGAAGAAGTCAGAAGACTTGGGTTCTAAAGATTGCTGAATGAATGTACCTGCCATGAACCAATGGTGTTACTATAAGTGAGTTATTAAATTCCCTTTGCCTGGATATTTTCATCTGTGAGACAGACGTTTTTAATTCAGTTACCTATAGCCACACTTCCACCTCCATTGTTCCATGGCTTCTATAATAAAGTTACCCATTCTAATTAACATTGAAGTTGAATTCAGAGCTTCAAGAAATAAGTTTAGGGAAAAAGATTTTTCAAGCCCTTCAGCAAGAACAAATAAGCCAAAAACCTTTGCATGAGTTGGTCCTAGCCCTCTTTTGGTTCCATGGACTCAGGAATCTGTCCTGACACCTCAGCTACCATGCCCAGCTCTGCTACTATTGTCTGTGTTATACATAATTAGTCAGGTAGTTTTTAATAACAGTTAATATTGTTTCTGGTTTTTTTTTTTTTTTTCTGTAACTCCCAGCAAGGACTTTAAGACATTTATTATTTGGGCAGAAATTGCAATTTATTTCTAACATAGATGGTTAACTTTAAGAATTCTCAGCTGCTAGCCAGTTTACCACCCCCAAACAACTTTATTTAAAAGAAGAAAAGAATTATGGAATGGTCAGTTTACTTTATTTATAAGTAACCATTGTCTTCTTGAATTTATACGTAATCAAAGATTCTCAATTCATTTAAAAGCAAACAATAGAGCTGAAGGCAATTTAATTGTTATAGACCCAGATACAGGATCTATTAAAGGGATTTGCTACTAAGAGGGATCGGCAGCAGAAAGGTACAGGTTTTAATGTCATGAGTTGATGAGGGAATGTTTAAAACTTTGAAGGTAGTTCTTTGAATAATCTCATCCCTAACTAGTAAGGCTTCACTGAATATCGATTTTGACTTCCAGGCCATTAATTTTCAGCATTCTGTTCTAAGATAAAAAGTTAAATCTAGTAATGGTTATTTTATATTACGTTTGCTTTAAAAAAATGGTTTATCTGAAGTTCAACTGAATATGAACTTTTGTGGAGTGCTTGGAATTTCCTTCCAGTGCAATGACATTAATGGCATCCTGGGCTCTGTTAAATGGAAGACAACTGAGGAAATTAGCAAGGTATTTATTTCTATGAGTTGTGAAAGCTCAGTTTTCTAACCTAGGAAATGCTTTCACAGTGGTGTAGTGGTGTGGATCATTAAGAGTATTTATTTTGTGATTTTAATTGAGATTTCCAGGTCGTGCCTACTGAATTTTGGATCTTCCCCCAGCCATTCATCTTTTGATCTTACGGTTTATATTATCTCCAGAAACTTTCAGTAAAGTCGATGCTGATTTTTTCACTTAGGTAAGCTTATTATTTCCTTTTAATAAAGCAAAGGAATTTCTCCAAAATCAAAGAGTTAAAAAATGTTGGGAACATTTAAAAAGTGAATTTAGTCTAAGAGGTCATGTATATACTAACGGTGACTAACAAAATTGAACACACAATAGAATATCTAGTTTAGGAGTAGATATTCAGTTTTACATTATATATAAAGAGGAGTTTTAGAGCTGAAATTCTGTTTTAAAGTGATACTAGAGGACAGTAATTTTTAAATAGAAAGACCAGGGGGAAAGTGCATCCTTCCCAGAGAAGTAGATCAAAAGTGGAGAGGAATTTTTCAGACTTCACTCACCCTGCCTTTACCTGCCTACAATGCTAACATATTTCTCCTTGGGCACCTCCCACCACCCATCTCAAAGTACCATCATTGTTACTAATGGGAGTCTGTGCTGACCTCAAGCGTGATGATGTAGAAGAAAAGTTGAATCCACTGCACTTTGGCACGCATTGTACACTTAAAGGACCCAAACACTAGACGCAAAATCTAAATGAACTACTGGGAGATGTGAAGGAACAATTTTTTTTTTCTCTGAAATATGCTTTATTCCCCCCTAATTTTGAAAGACCAGTGAGTATAAGAAATATTTCCAGTCCCTGTTAACTCTATCAGAAAAAGAAGAGTGAAGGAGTGAGGAACAAGAGAACTGGCCCTTGGTCTCAGCCTTGTGGACTCAGTGGGTCCAAGGTGAACTGGAAGGCAAATGCCCTGTCTGAGGAGGGGCAACTGCTGCCCGTTTTCTCCTGATGGTTTACCAGGAAGATATGTGGGCTCTGGATTGCCAGATCTAGGTTTTTTTATTTCTTTCAGAAGATGTTTTTAACGTGTATTTTTATATGAAATCTCACACGTTTCAAATACTTACTACTAATATGGAAAATATTTTAACAGTGTGCGACAAGCAAAGCCCAATTGCAGGTTACCCATTTGGAACTTCTGATCTGTAATTTTATTTTATCTTGTTTTATTGGGAACAGATATATATATATATATATATGTGCAGGGAGGGGAGAAGAAAATTATTTCAACTCTTAATATTATTATAGTATCTTCAACTTAGGTGAAGTCAGTTAATGGGACAGTAAGTTGAATCTTTTGTTTACTGTACTTACAACTTAGGTAAATTACATGCAAGTTCCTTGTTTATCAGCAAGAGCATTTGCACCCATTTTATAAAATATTGGTAAAGTCATATGTGGTAAAATGAAGGAGTCAGAAGACTTGGTTTCTAAAGATTTGCTGAGTGAATAAATATATATATCTGTACCTAATAAAACTATAACATATACATACCTATACTTAATATATACACACACACACATATATATACACATAGATAAAACACATATATTTTAGTAATTTTCAAAAATCAAGGCTCAAGACCAAGGAAGAACGGCATACAAGACAAACAAACTCAGAGTTTAAGAGAAAAATAATCTGGATTGTGGGTTAATTTAGATGACTCACAATTTTTTGTGCCCCATTTTCCTCTCCTGTAAATAAAATAGTCGGATTAAATGTCCTCTAAGCTGTATTCTATCCAGAAAGTTCTGTAATTTTAATATCCATGAGGAGTTCACCAAAATAATTTAGAAATGCATGAATTTAAATGTGCATGTTTTCACATATGTCTGGATTTATAAGCATAGTAGTTAAAGGGGTAATTAATTAATAACAGCTATTGGCCCAAAGTATTCTGTTTTTTTTTTTCGTTTGTAGTAGCCAATGGTCTACATCATTTAGGCCCACATTCTTACCTATTATACTATATTGCATTGCCCACTCAAATGTCTATGGAAAGAACAGTTATAGAGCTACTTATCTACAGAACACCTCACTCCAGAAAACAAACCAAGAATTATTTTAGAAAAATTGTACTCTTTACTTAATTCAAAATTTCGCATTAAATAACTACAATATTTAAACCTTCATTTTGTATACTATTGTTTTAATATACAATGATTATGCTGCTGTAGAGCAACTACCCAGCAATTCCACTGAAATCCCATTTCCAGCTAACACTTGGTTCTGTTTTCTCTTTCAGTGCAGAAAAGCAAAGAAGTAGAATTGTTATACTTCCATCGAGATATAAGAGATTAGATGGGCATTTCCACTGTTTTATTTTTAAAAATGAGTAATTTATTATGAGTATGTTTAGGTATCACTGTTTTGTCTAATCTAATGACTCCCAAGGTTATATGTACATCAAAATCACCAGGGTGCTGTTAAAAACATGGACCTCAACCTTAGAGATTCTGATTTCTGGTTCAAGATAGGGGAGGTGCTATTGTAATCTAATAACTTTATTTACAGATAAGGAATTGTTTACACAGATAAGTTCAATGGTTTTAAGATAGGAATTTAGCTTTCATTTTTGACTTGAATAGATTGTAATTGGACAAACTGAAAGCAACATTTTTGGACCTGGACTAGCCACAAATGCAAATCTTGATCCAGACTTCTTTCTAGTTGCATTCATTTTTAAATGTAAAAAAATCAATTATTTCTAATGACATCATTTTTAAATATTAAATGTGACCTAATCAAAATTGACAAATAAATAAGAACAATATGTTAAGTATTTGTTATGGCCACAGTATGTCCTCCCAAGGTTTAAATGTTATAGCCCTAACCTCCCAGTATCTCAGAACAGGACTGTGTTTGGAGACAGGGCCTTAAAGAAGTGATAAAGTAAAAATGATGCTGTTACAATGAGTCCTAATGTAATCTGACTGGTGCCCTTATAAGAAGGGGATATTTAGGATGGGCACACTGGCTTACACCTGTAATCCGAACCCTTTGGGAGGCCAAGGCAAGAGGATCACTTGAACCCAGGAGTTCAAGACCAACCTGGGCATCATAGTGAAAACCTGTCTCTACAAAAAATAAAAAATTAGCTGGGTGCAGTGGCATGTGCCTGTAGACCCAGCTACTCAGGAGGCTAAAGCATGAGGATTCCTTGAGCCGTGGAGTTCAAGATTGCAACGAGCCATGATGGCGCCACTTTGCTTCAGCACGGGAGACACAGCAAGACCCTGTCTGGGGGGGAAAAAATAAAGGGAAATTTGGCCACAGAAGAGACACCAGGGACATAACCATGTAAGGACACAGTGGCCATCTGCAAGCCATGGAGAGGCCTCAGGAAAAAACAGTACTGCTGACACCTTAGTCTTGGACTTCCAGCCCCCAAACAAACCTGGGAGAAAATAAGTTTCTGTTGCTGAAGCCACCCAGTCTGTGATACGTTGTTATGGCAGCTCTAGCAAAGTAATAGTAATTTTAGGTAAAATAAACAATAGATACATATATAAATTGTCTTCTCTGTTTATCACAGTTTTCCCAGACCTCTGTAAGTATATTTTCCAAAGAAATGATGTTGAAATGGAAGTTGTGTCATTAACTAACGACTTGATATTGAATGAAACATAAAACTGACAAGTTGTATATAACACAGGGAAAAAAATATCATTATAAACAGGGATGGGGTGGGGTAGGTGGATGATGTGGATAAGATTTTGAGGCTCAGGATCCAGGTGAGGCCAGAAACAACTCATGTGAAGATGTTCAGCCAGTTTGTTTTTACTGAAGGGCATTAATTTTTTTACCCATATACTTATCCTCTGAAGCACTGAATTTAACTTCTAGAGTAATTTGAAATAGTAGCATCATTATAAAAGCAATAGAACTCTGGAGGTGAAAGAGAGGCTACAGGTAACTGAATTAAAAACATTTGTCTCACAGATGAAAATATCTAGGACAATCGAATCAAATGACTCAGAGTAACATCATCAGTTCATGGCAGATGCATTTATTCAGCAAATCTTCAGAATCCAGGTCTCCTGACTCCTTCTTAATTTTAAAACATATGGATTCTTATAAATATTTTGTAAAATGGGTGCAAAGGCCCTTGATGGTAAAAGGAAGCTTCTCTGTAATTTACATAAAGTATAAGAAGCGCCACACATAAGACATTCAAACTTACTGTCCCATTAACTGATTTCACTTATGTTAACAATACTAACTGTAATAACACTAAAAACTGAATAATTTTCTTCCTTCCTGAAAAATATAAGTTCGATTGCACCTGAGGCCATCTTGCTGAGAAGTAACCTGGATGAAAGACATCCTTGCCACCCCTCACCCTGGGCCAACCTGCCTACCAATCGCACCCACTTGAGTGAGCACGGACAAGACCAGCAAAAAAAAACCCAATCAACCCATAGAATAATGAGGAACAATAAATTGTTGTTTTAACCCCTTTAAGTTTTGAATTAGTTTGTTAGGGAAAAGGCTAAATGAAACAACATTTTTAAGGAAATCATTTAATTAATACCCTCATAGAGATAGTTATTGTGATCATTAAATAATAAACATGTGTTGTGAAAAAAGAATGAGCAGAAGAGAAGAAAAAGTTCCTAGAACTTATGAATAACCAAAATGCAATATTCAAAAAAAGTCTTGGAGGATACAATTATCCACTCATAGAACTAAAACACATCCATATGGAAAATTGGAAAGATAAAAAATGAGACAATCTGGAGGCCCAACAATTGATTTTTAAAAAGTGTTCTAGAAAATGAAGTCAGAAGAGAGGCTACCAAGGAGAATCACAGAAAACTTTTCTAATATGGAAGAACACACTTTTCTGGACTGAAAAGGGCCACACAATCAAATTTAAAAAAAAAAAGAAAAAAAAAAGCCCCCATGCAAAGGGTACTGCCACATTTCCTAAAAGCCCCCAGAAAGAATAAAAAAGGGTCATATATGCAGGATTATTAATCAAAATCATTTCAGACTTCTCAGTAGTTCTTCTGGATGCTGAGGACTTTGGAGCAATACCTTCGAAATTTAGAGGGAAAATTATTTTCAAAAAATAAAACTATATCCACCGAAACCATCGAATGTGAAAGTAGAATGAACATAATTTTAATATACAATGTCAAGAAGTAGTCCTTTGCTTCTTCTGTTAGGCAGTTGCTGGAGGGTATTCATTAGCAAAATAAATGAGAAACCTACCAAGGGGGAAACCATGGGATTGAGGATACAGGAGCTCCTATACAAGAGAGCAGCAAAGAGAAGTCTCAGGACACCAGCCATGCACAGCTTGGAGTTGGAGGACAGAGAGTTGCAGGAGGAAGACGTCCAGGGGAAAAAATGAAATGATAGAAATCATTTGAGTTGTCTGAGCATATGGAAAAAAGATGAATAAGTCTTTAACAGATTTGCTGGAGCATTTAGAAAAAAATAGCAAATGATCCATAAAAATCCAAGCAAATTTTTAAAAATGATACTCTGCAAGAAAAAATAATAAAAAGTAAAAAGAAAATTAATCATAGACTTTAGTTCCACAAAGATTTTCCCAGTATGAGCTTCAAATGATTATATAGTAACAGTTTGATTTTTTCAGAGTCTTTGGGGGAAGGAGTCACTTAGTAGAGAATATAAATTCCATGAGGGAAGGATTCTTCTGCTTCACGGATGGATCCCTTGTGCATAGACCTGGAACTTAGTGGTGCTTCATAAAATTTGAATGAATGAATATCTGGGTCTCCAAATACAGAAGGCTTTCCTCTTCGGACCAACAAACTTTCTAACTGCTTTCAAAATGGACTACACCATTACCTAGCAGAACTTTCTTGGATTACTTGGAAATATGTGTGCAGTTACGGTACTCTCTACAAACAGGGAAGTTATTTTTATTAAGCAGATCGGACTTGCTATGCTTTTGGAGTGATTTGTTTGCCTTTTTTACTTACTCTGTTTGCTTAGCAGTTATTCAATTTAGCAAATATTTATGTATTTACTGAACACCCACTATATGCCAGGCACTATGCTATGGCCTGAAGATATAGAGTGGGGGAAACAAAAAACCCAAAAGATGCTCTTCCTATCATCACAGGGTGAAATGTTAATAGTGGGAAAAACATCCATTAAACAAATAATTAAAGCTGGAATGAGTGTTATGAAAGAAACTACAGAAGACAATGAGAGATGTAATAGTGGGAGTGGGTGGGTACAGACATATCTTTAATCTGAAACCTGAACTATAGTAACCTTATCCTGTAATATTATTGAACATTTACTCTGTAATGGTCTACAGAAAGAAAACTAGAAGGTGCTCACAAGTTTACACCGTCAGTAAGTTGTATAGTTGTAACACAAACCCAGTTAATCTGTTTTTAGAATCCATAATCAACTACTACGCTATGTTGCATTTCTGGAATAATCTGCATGAAGACAGCTAGCATTTATGGTGCACTTATTATATTCAGGTGTTATATGAAGTGCTTTTAGAGAGCATCTTATTTAGTTCTCACAAAACCCTAATAGGTAATTTTTATTGTCACAAATTGAAAAGCATGGATACAATATTATGTAGCATTTCCTATCAAGAGGTAGAGTCAGTTTCTCCACTTCTTAATCTGGGGTGGCCTTCTGACTTGTGGACCACAGATGTGTCAGTGAAGCCATATTACAGATGCTGGCCTCAGCCAGTCCACCAACTGACTGCAACTGCCTGAGTGAGCCCAGGAAAAACCAGCAGAAGAATCACCCAACTAACCCACAGAATCATGAGAAACAAGAAGTCACTGTTTAAGCCACTAAGTTCTGAAGCATATTATGATTCAGTAATAGGTAGCTGTTACAACTATTTGTATCCCCAGTTAGAGGGCTTAAAGTATCTTGTTTAGAGAGACAAAGCTGGTGGCTGATTTCTAATTCAAGCCCACATTGCATTGCTGGAGTTCAGGCTAGGAGGTAGAGGAGTGGGGAAAGAAGAGATCATGGAGAGTTTCAGACAGCAAAGAAAACATCACATTTTCTCAAATGTAAGAACTAAAACAAGCAAGCAAGGAGATGTCAACTTAGTAAAGGAAACCAGGGTGAGGCCCGCAGGGGTCCGACCACCACCTTTGGAGTCTTGCAGGTATCTGGCACTCACCTCTCCATTCTGATAATGGCGGTTTACAAACATCTCTGCAAATTTTTTAACACTTCTCCTTCCATCTCCCCAAAAGAAAGGAGAGTCTAATTTCTCTCCCCTGGATTATGGGCTGGTCTCAGAGACTTGCTTCTAGGGGGCAGGATGTAGCAAAAGTGAATGTTATGGACCGTATGTTTGTGTGCCCCTAACCCCAATTCATGTGTTGAAGCCCTAACCCCCCTAGTGTGATAGTAGTAAGAAGTCAAGCTTTTAGTGGATAATTAGGTTTAGATAAGATCATGAGAATGCCCAAGAAGGATGATTGCCCTTATAAGTAGAAGAGGAGGCGCCAGTGCTTTATGTCTCACCATCTGAGCATATAGTAGGAATGCAACCATCGGCAAACCAGGATGAGGGCTCCGCTCCCACCAGCACCCAACCATGCAGGTGCCCTGATCTCAAACTTCTAGCCTCCAGAATTGTAAGGGATAAATATACGTGGTTTCAGTCACTCCACCAGTGGTATTTTGTTATAGCAGCCTGAGCTGCTTAAGATAGCGAAGCCATGAGATGTCCAGGGCTCGGCCATAAAGGCCATTTAGCTTCCTCCTGGCTCCCTCTTTCTCTCTCAAAGCACATTCCCTAGGATCGTGAAGCTAATGTGAAAGAAGTCTGGCTACCCTGAAGCCACCGTGCTGGCGGGACCCATGGAGAAAACACATAGAGACAGAGAATAAGGCCTGAGGGGCCACAGCTATTCCAGCCCCCAGCTTTCTGAGCCTTCCCAGCCCAAATGTCAAACATAAAATAGAGTGAGCCATCACATAGTTCTGAAGAACCATGGTGGTCTCCAGATGGCCTTGGAATGACCCATTCCTTCCCCTGTTCTTGCTTGTAGTTCTCAATAATAAGTGTAGAGTGTGCTGGAAATGCAACATACTGTGATAAGGAGGAAATAGATGGAATAGCCCAGGCTCTGTTCCAGCCCCTCCTAGAGAGAAGATGTCCTGCCATATGTTAGCCCAGCATGTTATATTATTACCCTAGGGTATAAAACCCAGGGCAGGCCGCTTTTCTGGTTCCCTCAGCTGCAGTGCAAGTGGGACATTCACAGGCAAGATTCCATCCACCCTGGGTGGCTTTCCTGAGCCTCAGGGAACTGGACCACTCTGAGTCTAGGCTGCTGTCACTTGCTGCTTATCTGTAAGTCATAAACCCATGTGACTTATGTCTGAGAGTGCTCTGTCTCACCAAACAAGAGGGAAGAGTGCAGCCCAGGATGCACTAGGCTAAAGTTATAATCTGTGCGCAGTAAACCTGCAAAGCAATTCCAACCCTGAGCCTTAGGGCTGCCCACTTTGCGCCCTACCCAAATTTCATACCCATGGGCAACATTAATGTGATTTGGGATGGTTTGCTATGCAGCAATTGACAACCAACTCTGTGATTGTGTTTGATCCCTGTAGCCCTCCTCTTCCTTCTAATTTGTTACTTCAACGAAACCAGTTAAGATTTTGTGTAAAGAGAGTGAAAATACACTGAGAATCTACTTGGAGTGGTCTCCTGTGAAGGAAGCATGTGACATCTCTTTCTAGATTTTTCAGTGTGGATTTATATTTTCTAGACATGATTGTGCTTGCTTCCCTGTTTGATTTTGTGTTGGTTTTTTCTTTTCAGAAGCATATCACTGAGTTCTAGAGAGTTAGAGGGCAATATTTCATAATATTTTATTTTCTACACCATTTTTCACAGGCTGCACTTCCGTTATTTAACTAAAAGGGGAAAATAATTGCTAATACCAATTCTTCTCTAAAAACAATCTGGTAATAGGAATAATTTCCTAAATGTAAAGCCCACACAGTAGATAATTTTCGCCACTTTTGATTTTTGGAACAAAGATTCCACAATGGGGCTACAAATGCTGAGAGCGCTGAAATCCTCGCTTTTATTCAATTAAGCAGCTTTAAGGACCCAGTTAAAACAAGAAAACAGACTCAGAAAAAATAACTTTCCTGTGAGACTCAAGCTCTCAACAGCAGAGTCATTCACTTTTTATGATCGTTATAATTATTAGTAGTGATGGTGATAACAATATATCATTTATATAGCGCTTTAGAATTGCACAAAGCTTTCCTACCATCATTTATTAGCTAATCTTCAGAACATTCTTCAGTAATGAGTCAATATTTCTGCCTCCACTTAACAGATAGGAAATTGAGGCACAATGTGCTTCAATCACTTGTCTAAAATCAGTTCCTGGCCTGAGTGAAAGACTCAGTAACGTTACTGAAGGCAGCATCCTGCCAGACCAGCCTGCATTTCACTCAACTAATCTCTCTAACTGCTTCTAACAGAAATGACTAAGAGCTTGAGTTTTGAAACAGATTCTCTGATGTTTTAGGAAACAATTTAAGAATAGTCCTCCAAAATGAAAATTCTTCTCAATTGAAAGTATAATTTGAAGATAAAAATAAATGTGCAAGTTAAACTTTTAACTGTATCAGGAACATTTCTTAATAACTAAGCCTTTCAAGGTTAATGCCAGAACTCTTGAAAATAATGGGTGAATTGAATTATGTACCTGAAATGTTTCAAGTGTAACCTGGAGAGGACACGATATTATCCTACTGAGTGAATTTTAGGGATGGCTTACCTCTCAACAATGTCTCATGTATGGCTAAATAATACATAACATTTAATAACTAGATTAAATAGGAATTGTCAAATTCAATAGAAAATGTTACTACAATTTTCAGGTTTATACCAGAGGCAAATTTTATCATCTCTATTGTTAGAGATAATAGTGATGCCTAAGTCTTACTAACCTGGTACTATGGCTATTATCCTAACTATTCATTTCTCTATAGATCTTGTAGTTCTTTATACTGAAGATTCTACCTCTACTTTCTCTACTTCTCTCCCATGCCTTACCACTCTATCAAAGTAATGAAGCACAATCAGTGTCTAGCTGGAGTAAACCACCTCAATTTTACCCATTGCAAACTGACATTTTGTTCTCAAACAGTAAAACAAACTAGGATATCTTAATACGCCCTTGCAAAACTTGCTGAAACTTGGCATTTGTGCTTTCAGCACAAATATGACAATCAAGAACCCATTCTCCTGGCCTCCACTTAGAGATGCCCATCACCCAGCACCCATTTCACGTCAGGTCCTGCCAATTGTGCCCTATGGCTGACACATTAGCCCACACACACACAACCATGGCACAGTCTCTATGAAATCAGAAGACTTCTTTTTTATTTTTTTCTGGCTTCCTCATCCTCCAAGCAAGAATTCAAATGTCAATCACCTTTAGTTAGATTGCATAAAGTAGCATCATAAAAATGGTAACCAATCCAATTGCAAATCACTTGATGAATCTTCTTTGAAGAGTTGCCAATAATGCTAATCGTCAAATGGTTGAATCCCGCTTTGTAAAGATGCGTTTGTGAAGAACAGCAATCTCTGTGACTTTGACAAAGGAACTGCTGACTTGCATCACTGTTTGTCTTTTGATGTGAAAGAGCAAATCAATTTATAGAGCCTTTGCTTGCAGATGTAGGATATGATTAGTATGCAGAAAGACCTTTCCACGGTGTCATTTGTTTATTTAGCTGCCTCTGCACTCCGCTCTGATTGTGTATACCTAATTAATGTATACAAAGCTAAAAGAAATAAATCCATGGGTCCACAATCATAGGCATGTCGCCTGTCACCATGGGGTGGGAGACACTACAATTGTATTACCTGTATACCAAATAAAGCATGTTGACATGCGAAACAACAATGAAAATATAAGAATTTTTCTCATCAAAGTTCTTCTTGGCTATTTATAAACTCAGATAGGTGAGAATGAACCTGTTTAAAAAGGAAAGGGATGTACTTTCTTTTCTGTCTTGGTATTTGAATTTTTATTCAAAGCAGTTGTTGAGTCTTTATGAAAAGTACTTGTGATTTCTTCCAGAGGTCAAAGTACTTTGTAAAACATCCTGTGAGACCTGAATCATCCCGTTCTTCAAGGCCTCACTGTTCAGATGCTTGGAAATTTTAGCTGAGAATGAGTTTAAAGTGAAAAGCAAAGACTCTAGAGACCTTCATGTCAATAATGAATGATCAATAGAAGTCACACACTTGAAAATTGACATTCAGTCAGCAGTTCCCTGTTATTCATGCACATTTCACACTGTCTATTCAGGTTCTGCAAGAAGCACTGGTAGCAAAATGGCAAAGCTGCTAAATCTCTAGACTACCAAATAATGAAATCCAGAGTGACATCTAGTGACATCCCATATTAGAAGCACTCATTCTGCATCTGGTAAACCCCAGCCACATTATCTGGCACCATCAATAAGCTAGCCCTTGCAGATAGGGACCAGCACTTTCTATGTAGTCACCAATGAAATGCTAAAATTATTTGCTTAAGTACTGGTTGCCTCCAATGTTTGCCTGACACAAATATCTCTTATTTTCCATCACCAAACTATGAAAACTTCAATTGTTGACTCCAAGTTTAAGTGGCTCTTTGAATTTCTCCTGAGCTCTTTCATCGATGGCAGGCAAGCTTTTCACTAGTTCTCGCATTGCTCTGTCTCTGCTTTAATATGAACAGCATGCCAGGCCCATTGCCTTAAATCATGCCAGGGAGCTGCCGGAATAGTTCAAACCTCTCTAAGAGCAGAAGCCAAGGGAGCTGTTATCTTATTGCTGAAACCCAGAACATGCTATTCCACTTAAATCAGTGGTGTCATGGTCTCATTTGCAATGAAATTTCTTTAATTTTTTTTTCTGGTGTATGAGGGAATTTTTCTTTTTCTGGGGGGTGGGGAAAAGAGTTCTTCTAAATATTGTAACCATTTTAGAAAAAGAGAGAAACTTTAAATGGAAGGGGTAAAATTAATATAGTGTTAAACATGAAACACTCAGTAAATCTGATTTTCATGGTCTTTGGGCATTTAACAATGACTTTTTAACCTGATGTGCATTTACTATGACTTTTTAACCCGATGCAAACCTCAACTGGAGTATAACACGAAGGGATGTTCCATAAATTCTCAATACAATGAATATGTCTATTTTTTAAGTAGGTCTCTCTTTAATATAACTGTTTTCTATTTCAAAGGCTCCTCCTCAAATGAGAGATGAAGGGTATGTCACACATGAAATAAAATAAATTCTCAGAAGGAAGGTGCAATGGTCTGTGGGTAAGAGATATGTTTCCTGCTAAAGCTGTAATTAAAAACAAATTGATATAAATCCATCTTGTAGTTCCATAACAACAACAAAAAAAAAGAATTAAGCAGTATTCCCTCCTAGATATTATAAAAACTGGTTGATATGAAGACTATGATGGCATTAAAATCAAATTTCTCTAGGATTTCAGGTATAAGTCTTATGCATTAATTCATATACGCCACGGTGGTAGGCAGGTGCTAATGGTAAAAGCTGGAACAAAAGAGTCAAGGTCCTGTCTTTAAGCTACAAATTAAGATATCAATTCCTGCCAGGACTCGGGTCACAGAGAGAAAAACTATCTAGACTGACTAATGAGCCTCAATTTACCTTTCTGTTGACTCTTTATTTTGGCAATTGTCTCCACTTTGAATTTCACAAGATTGTTCTTTACTTCATCGAGTCAGCTTCATTTCATTCAACCCCTCTACCCTCGCCTTTATAACATGAATAAATAGAGCCCTGAGAATTTAAACACTATCCCCCATGGTGGCAGTTTTAACATACATAAGATCTGAATGAGAATTTAGGCTTCCTGATTTCCATTAATTTTTTTCCCACTGTATCACTTGGTTTCATGTTAACACACTTTAAGGCCAGGCAGAAAGCATAATAATTAATGTCAGAAATAAAACAGTAAACAATTTTACAATTTTGTTAATCTGTTAATTTTTCACTTTTCTCTACCTTCTATTTGGAGTTAATTTACAGACAAAGCATATATTTTAAGCAATTCATAACTCCTGTAATTTGAGGGAGGCAATGTTTTGTAGGAGGAAAACAGTGACATAAGAAAAAAAGAATATTTGCAGTTTTATTCTTATTTATTTTGGTAATTATTGGAGAGATTTTGAATCACTCTTTTTATCTGTGAAAAAAAATTTCATACCATGATTTCTAAACTGTTTCTTAGTTCTAAAAATTTTACTCTAGATATGTACATTTACCTTTTAACACCTAATCTACATATCTTAGAATATAATTCTGTCATTATCCAGTACAAAATATTGTTTTCCCACATAATTAGATAATGAGTTCAAGTTATATACATCTGTAAATACATGATATGGTTGGCTGTATCCCCACCCAAAATCTCATCTTGAATTGTAATCCCCATAATCCTCATGTGTCAAGGGAGAGACCAGGTGGAAATAATTGAATCATGGGGGCGGTTTCCCCCATGCTGTTCTCATGACAGTGGGTGAGTTCTCAGGAGATCTGATGGTTTCATAAGTGTTTGTTAGTTCTTCCTTCATTCATTCTCCTTCCTGCCATCTTATGAAGAAGGTGCCTTACTCCTGCTTTGCCATCTGCCATGATTGTAAGTTTCCTGAGGCCTCCCTAGCCATGCTGAACTGTGAGTCAATTAAACCTCTTTCCTTTATAAATTACCCAGTCTCAGGCAGTTCTTTACAGCAGTGTGAAAACCAATACAATACAGTAGCAAAATATTTTATTAGTTAATTTGAGTATTTAAATAAAAACTACTCATCAATTATCAAAAACCTTCCTATATTTAAAAAATGAACAGCAAATCCCCTTTTCCTAAACATAAATACCAAGAGCAAATCCTAGATAGTGTGGGGGATGAACAGTGTCTTTCCTTCTCATCTGAGGTTCTTGGCTGAGGTCCCTATAATAAAAGACAGATTAACAAGATAAAAGCATATGAATGTATTTAATATAAGTTTTATAAGGAAATGAAGACCTGAAGAAACGTGTAAACCAATGTATTTTTTATGCTAGACTTAATAAAGAAATTGATAGTCCATGGAGAAGTATGACTGGACAAAGGGGGTATGATCTAATGGTAAAAAGCTAGGGAAAACTTAGCAAATCGTGTTCGTTCAGACTTTTTCCTATCTTCAGAGATAAGGATGTTCCTTTATAGGCATAGGTAGGTGCCTCTCGAATGAGGGTCTTATGATCAGTTTCAGGGAAAGGCCAGAAAAAAAATCTTTCCTAGGTTTTATAACCTGCTTCAAGGAAAAAGGGGAAAGGGCAGAGTGGCCTTCCTGCTTCTGCTGTTTTCTGACATGCCATGGTGCCATATTTTCTAGTAACATGTCCCAAACACCATCAGTAGAAAAGAAAGGTATTTCTCCTTCATCTTGTATCTTGCCAATTTATTTTACCTCCTTCTTGGCAAAATAATCTACACAGATTCTTCTCTAATTTTTATGCTCTGTTTTAACATTTGGATATTTTATGCCATTGCTATTTTTCAATATTTTTAAAGGTAAACTTATAGAATAGTAGTATCACTAAACTGTCTTTTTCATCTTTACATCTCCACAGTTCATAAGACTGCCTGCTCTTATACGTGGTATTGTTCAATAATGTGTTTTTGTTTATTTGTTTGTTTTTTGAAACAGATTCTTGCTCTGTCACCTAGGCTGGAGTACATTGGCGTGATCTAGACTCACTGCAACCTCCGCCTCCTGGGTTCAAGCGATTCTCCTGTCTCAGCCTTCTGAATAGCTGGGATTACAGGCATATACCACTACACCCAGCTAATTTTTGTACTTTTAGTAGAGACTGGGTTTCACCACCTTGGCCATGCTGGTCTTGAACTCCTGACCTCAGGTGATCTGCCCACCTCAGCCTTCCAAAGTTCTGGGATTACAGGTGTGAGCCACTGAGCCCAGTCCAACAATGTGTTTTAATGACAACTGCATGCACACAAATTAGGGCCAGAAGGAAACTTAGAGATGACTAATTCAGCTGTCTCATTTTAAGGCCATATAGTCACTGAGTCCCACAGAGATTCGATGACTTGCCCAGTGTTACCTAACCAGTCAATAAAAGGAACTAGATGCCTCCTGACTGATAATCCATATTAGTTTTTCCTCTTCAAAGATATGCTGGAAATATTTTGTGCAGGTGGTGTTTGTTTACATTTCCTACAATTAATTCCTGTATACATCTCTCATATAATCAAAACCAAAACCACATGTTCTGCCATTTATAATTAATAGGTTTGTCCATGCTACTTTATCAAACTTGGAACACTGCACATGTGGTAGGCTGAATAAAAGACCCAAAATATAGCTAGGTTCTAAAACTCAGAACCTGTGAATGTTACATATGTGGCAAAAGAAACTTAGGAGACAGAATTAAGTATCTTGAGATGGGGGAAGTTATCATGGATTATCTGAGTGGGTCTTAAATGTGGGTCCTTGTGGTTACCACAAGGCAAAAGGAGATTTGACAGCAAAAAGAAAGTAATGTGAGGAGTGAAGAAAGATGCTACACTGCTAGCATTGGAGATGATGGAAGGGGCCAGGAGCCAAGGAATGCAAGCAATGAAGCTCTAGAAGCTGCAAAAGACAGGCAAATGGATTGTCCTACAGCCTCTAGAAGGAGTACAGCCCTACAGACACCTTGGTTTCAGTCCAGTGAAACTGATTTCAGACTTTTGACTTTCTGAAATAAGAGAGTAAATGTGTGCTGTTTTAAGCCACTGCTTGTAATGATTTGTTACAACAGCAAATAGAAACAAATATATTAGACATGGTATTGGTTGAGATTTAAGAGTCCTGGCTTGAACTCACTGACTTGCATCATCTCTCTAGATGTTAGTTCTACAAATGCCTGTGACTCTCAGATGCATCATGAAATTTCTCAGTACCATACTTTCACTCAAGCTCAGTGAGCCATCTCAATTTGAGATAACACTGCTCTGCTAGATACCCAGATAGAGTCATAGGCACAGTTCATGTTACCCTATAAAAACCTTGGCATAAAATTTTAAAAGTTGCCCCCTCTAGGAAAATAAATTAGAAAAAAAAAAATGGAGCCTTTACAGGAAGGATAAAGTCCCTCCGTCTTCCAGACAGCATGGTGCTGAAAGGGGCCCAAGCTTAGACTAGTGGAACATTGACCAAATTTTATTTCCTCTTGATGCCCAGACCTTTGTTCAGTGCACACCTTATGCCAGGAACCTCCCTAGTGCCCAGCTCCTAAGAAAGAGGGAAGGAGGGAGGAGGAGAGAGAGAAAGAGAGGGAGGGAGGGATGGAGGGAGAGAGATTGAGAGAGAGAGAGAGAGAGAAGCTCAGCTCAACACAGCCTCCCATGGAAATAGACAATCTCACTGTCCCACTCCCTCTTCCAACAGGTACAAATCCTCAGTGGAACAGAACAGAGACCTCAGAAATAACACCGGTGACACATCTACAACCATCTGATCTTTGACAAAACTGACAAAAACAAGCAATGGGGAAAGGATCCCCTCTTTAATAATGGTGCTGGGAGAACTGGCTAGCCATATGTAGAAAGCTGAAATTGAATCCCTTCCTTACACCTTATACAAAAATTAACTCAAGATGGATTAAAGACTTAAATGTAAGACCTAAAACCATAAAAACCCTAGAAGAAAACCTAGGCAATACCACTCATAACATAGGCATGGGCAAAGACTTCGTGACTAAAGCACCAAAAACTAGACAAAAAATGCCAAAATAGACAAATGGGATCTAATTAAACTAAAGAGCTTCTGCACAGCACAAGAAGCTATCATCAGAGTAAACAGGCAACCTACAGAATGGGAGAAAATTTTTGCAATCTCTCCATCTGGCAAAGGGCTAATATCCAGAATCTACAAAGAACTTAAATTTACAAGAAAAAAAAAACCATCAAAAAGTGGGCAAAGGATATGAACAGACACTTCTCAAATGAAGACATTTATGCAGCCAACAGACATATGAACAAATGCTCATCATCACTGGCCATTAGAGAAATGCAAATCAAGACCACAATGAGACACCATCTCACAACGGTTAGAATGGCAATCATTAAAAAGTCAGGAAACAGATGCTGGAGAGGATGTGGAGAAATAGAAACACTTTTACACTGTTGATGGGAGTGTAAATTAGTTCAACCATTGTGGAAGACAGTGTGGCGATTCCTCAAGGATCTAGAACTAGAAGTACCATTGTATTCAGCAATCCCATTACTGGGTATATACTCAAAGGATTATAAATCATGCTACTATAAAGACACATGCACATGTATGTTTATTGCAGCACTATTCACAATAGCAAAGGCTTGGAACAAACCCAAATGTCCGTCAATAATAGACTGAATAAAGAAAATATGCCACATATACACCATGGAATACTATGCAGCCATAAAAAAGGATGAGTTCATTTCATTTGCAGGGACATGACTGAAGCTGGAAACCATCATTCTCAGCAAACTATCACAAGGACAGAAAACCAAACACCGCATGTTCTCACTCGTAAGTGGGAGTTGAACAATAAGAACACATGGACACAGGGAGGGGAACATCACACCCTGGGGCCTGTCGGGGGGTGGGGGGCTATTGGAGGGATAGCATTAAGAGAAATACCTAATGTAAAGGAGGAGTTGATGGGTGCAGCAAACCAACATGGCACATGTATACCTATGTAACAAACCTGCACATTGTGCACATGTACCCCAGAACTTATAAGAAAAAAGAAAAACAAAAAGAATTGTCAGCTTTTTTTTTACACTAAATCACTACAAGCCTTGAAGGAACAAAAAATAGTGTGCATCATGGCCATGTTGCAATTACAATGTCATCAAAGTGACTTTTTTTAGATAATTCTTGGTTAAATGTAAATATGCTACATATTCACTGAGATGCCTACTCTCATATTTGAAGGTCATAATTACAAAAACTAAACTAGTTAATAAGGACCATTTAAATTTTAAAATAAAGACAAAATGCATACGACCATTAAGATAGAAATCGCATCTATTCACTGTATAATTAAGCTATTGTGCTGGTTAGTTTGTTTTTCTAGGGTTGATTATGAAGTTTCCTCCAACTTTCTGAATATTGTCTTTTATTTAAGTTTTATAAGAAGTTTTCTGAATTGCCTTTATCAGAAAATTAATACTGACGAGAAATTACTATAATCACCAAATGTTAGCCACTGTATCGTATTGTACACACAGGACAATCCTTACTCCATAGTTAATACTATGGTAAAAATCTTGGGGATTTTTATTTTAAAGTGACACCTCTTCATTATAGAAAATTTAGAATATATAAACAAGCAAAAGAAGGAAACTAGGACAACCTGTAATTCTACAACCACAGATATCCTCTGAAAACAATTTTTAAATTTCACTATAATAAAATATAAGTCATATAATGTGTATAAAACTTATATTTATAGTTTAATAAATAGATGCAAACACTCATATAACCACTCCCAGGTCAAAAAATCATACATCATTTTTACCCCAGAAGTCCTCTGTTTCTCTTTCTAATCATAACCTTCATCCTCTTTCTCCAAGGTAACTGTTATCTTGACATGCGTCATCCTTACTTCTGACTTTCCTTTGCTTTTATCATCCATATATCATCCCTAAATGCTATAGTTTAGTTTTGCCTGTTTTTCAAGTCCTCATAAATGGAATCACTCTATCTATTCTTGTGTTTCTTTCTTGCTTTATTTAATATTATATATTTGTAATATTCTTTCACATTGCTGTGTATAGCTATAATTTATTTATTTTTAATTGTATTATAGTATCCCATTGTGGACCGTACCATAATTTACTTGTCCATTCTACTGATAACAAACATTGTTATATATGCCTTCAGGCTTAATTTATCAAAAGAGCATCATGCTATTTTATAACCTGCTTTTTGTAATTAATGTTCATAAATATCATTCCACTCCTTTGAATATTCTTTCACTATATAAATCGAGTGGCTTTATATCCCATTTAGACCACATTACAAAATTAAATTGTATATTTAGTTACCTCTAATGTTTTATAATTATAAATCATATTTTAAGTGCCATTTTTATACAAAAACAGCTATGTACATCCATGATTACTTTGTTATAGTACTTTTTTATAATTGGAATATTTTCCTTAGGATATATTCCTAGAGCTAAAGGATATCAACATTTTTTTTTTTTTTTTTTTTGAGACGGAGTCTCGCTCTGTCGCCCAGGCTGGAGTGCAGTGGCGGGATCTCGGCTCACTGCAAGCTCCGCCTCCCGGGTTCACGCCATTCTCCTGCCTCAGCCTCCCAAGTAGCTGGGACTACAGGCGCCCGCCACTACGCCCGGCTAATTTTTTGTATTTTTAGTAGAGACGGGGTTTCACCGTTTTAGCCAGGATGGTCTCGATCTCCTGACCTCGTGATCCGCCCGCCTCGGCCTCCCAAAGTGCTGGGATTACAGGCGTGAGCCACCGCGCCCGGCCAGGATATCAACATTTTTAAGAATATTCACTTTTGCCAAATGCTTACCTAGAAAATTTGTATCTTTTTATTTTCTCAGTAGAACACCACAAACGACCTATTTTTTTCTGCATTCTTGCCAGCAATATATATTATCGATTTTTAAAACCTTCACAAAATTAATAAAGGAAACTGGCCTGTATTATTTGAATTTGCATTCTGTTGACTGCCGAAAGATTAAATATTTCTTCAACTTTAATAGCCATTTGTTATCAAACACTGTCTTTTAACCTACAGATGGGTCATTTTTTTGCAAGACCATGACTTATACATTAATTAATGAATAACAACTCTTTAAAAGTTGTCTTTTCCAGGCCATATTTGTCATTTACATGACTCCAGGCACTAATGAAACTTCATCAAATACTGAAAAGAAGCTGTATTAGTCTGTTCTCATGCTGCTAATAAAGACATACCCAAGAATGAGTAATTTATAAAGGAAAGAGGTTTAATTGACTCACAGTTCCACATGGCTGGGGAGGCCTCACAATCATGGCAGAAGGCAATAGAGGAGAAAAGTCACATATTACATAGCAGCAGGCAAAGAGAGCATGTCCAGGGGAACTGCCCCTTATAAAACCATCAGACCTCATGAGATTTATTCACCATCACAAGAATAGCACAGAAAAGACCTGCCCCATGATTCAGTTACCTCCCACTGGGTCCCTCCCATGACATATGGGAATTGTGAGAACTACATATGAGACTTGGGTGGGGACACAGCCAAACCATATCAAAAGCTAAGGCAGCCTTCTACAGAAAAAAAAAAGATGCCTCTAGAAATCCTGTTGTTATCTATTAAGCTGGGGATAAAACCTTCCCACTTAGTCAAAATGATGCCATATTGATCATCATCGTGGCCCTGTTGGATCAGCCTGTGTGACCTATATTGTGGCAGTAATCCCTGATGGCCTACTTGTTTAGTTCATAACAAGGACTAGCTCTCATATTTAAAAAGAGAAAACAATAAGTATAGACATAACACTACTTAAACTACACCTTGTTTTGGGAGTCTCGTCTAGTTCTCCAGGGATGGAAAAAATTGAATTATGAGAAGCCTCACAGACTTCAATGGCTAATCTCCCATATATTTGTTTTAAAATATCCCTCTACCATGTAACATTATTTCAGAGTGATCTTCTACTCAAGATAATCAGTTAAGTTGGGGGCAATTGAATGAATTAATGTCCACAAATTCCATAAACGAAATTAAAGCAAGTACATACAATACCAAGAACAATAGCATTTGGCAATTCATGTGTTATTAAAAATAGGCACAGATCTGTGAATTGAAAAAACTTGTCATAGAACCAAGAACACTCCAAGAAATTTTGATTTCTTCAAAATATTTCCTCATTATCAAAAAAGTTGTTTTCTTATACTAATTTACATGGGATTTTGTACAGGGCCTCCTGGCCACATTTCCTGGAAAAGTTGATCCTTCTGATAGTGTAGACTATGTGATCTGCCAAATACTATCCTATTGTATATTCTTTTCAATATTACAAATAACTTTATACCAACAGGTAATCTTTCCAAGAAAACAGTGCTCATGTAGTGATCACATTGTGAAGGAAAAATATTGTTTTCCATAAAAGACATCATTAATTGGCCATTAATTTATTCCAATATTTGGAACACCATGTGGGAATTATTTTTAAATTAGTTTGAAAACACAGGAGCATGGCTTCAATTCCACTTGCAATTTACAAGCACCTCCTCTACACCTAATTTAAAAAACAAAATTTCTTGTAGTTACATTTCAGGGTTTGTTCAATTTTAACTGCCCAGTGTGGAAGCTAAAGGGGTCCTCTAAAAATCAAAACTGGCAGAAGAGATGAAAAACATTTTCTGGCTACCAGAGATGATCCCTACTGGGGGAGAGGGCATACAATTTATCATCCAAACCAGAACCATTTTTAGAATAAAAGGGAGGACTAGTATTATTAATTTACCTGGACAACAGGTATAAATCTGAACTGTCCCAGATAAGCCTGGGCATATGATCTCCCTATCCATACTCGACCTTCAATGAGGTCAATATTTACAGGATTAATGCAGAAGCTTTAGAAAATGACACAGCAAGTTCTGACCTAATACTTACCTTCATTTGGAAACTTCTATTAAAATAATATAGATTTTGTGGGGGAGGACTGGCCCTTTATCGCAATCAGGACATACCTACAGGACACTGGAAATTACATAATAAAAGAGAAAAACTGTAAAGGCGTTATAGTTGGAGGGATCAGGGGTTGGTAACTTGAATGGGATTTGTCATTGTGTCTGATCAATAGAGAAATTATTTTCTTACTTAGCACATGAACTTAAAACTCTTCCCCTAGCTGCATCAGAAGAGATAGCACAAAGAACAAAAAGTGAAGTTGCATTAAAGATAAAGAAAGCTGCCTTCCCTGATTTCAAAGAAAATCAGACAGGCATCACACTTGAGCATTACTATGGCATATTAACATATGAAAATCAATCTGTCTAATATACCACATTAATGAAATAAGGATAAAAAAGGATATAAATAAAGGATAAAATCATAATCATTCCAAAAGATGCAGAAAATACATTTAACAAAATCTAATACCCTTTTATATAAAGAATAGTCAATAAACTACAAATACAGGAGAACATTCTCAACCTGAAAAAGGACATTAAGGAAAAACCCACAGCTAACATACTTACAAGTGAAAGCTTTCCCTCTAAGATCAAGAACAAAACAAAGATGCCCACTTTCACCACTTCTACTCAGTATTGTTCTGTGTGCTTTAGCTGTGCCCACTGGGCAAGAAAAAAAATAAAAGGCATCTCGGTTGGAACAAAAGAGGTAAAACTACCTCATAATTCTAGGAAGCACACATACACACTATTAGAACTAATAAATGAGTTCAGCAATGTTACAGGATAAAAGATTAATAGCCAAAAATCAATTCTATTTCTATGCACTGGAAATAAAAAATTCAAAAATGAAATGAAGACAAAGATTCCACTTATAATGACATCAGAAGGAATAAAATACAAACAAATTAAACAAAGGAGGCACAAGATACACACACTGGAAACTACAAAACATCAGTGAAAGAAATCAAAGACCTAAGTAAATTAAAACATCATTTGTTCATGAATTGGAAAACTTAATGTTGTTAAGGCTCCATAAATTGATCTATCCTATTTAATTCAATTGCTATCAAAATCCTCACTTCTATTTTGCATAAATTGAAAATTTGCTCTCAAAATGAATTTGGAAATTTAAAGAACCAGAACAGCAAAAGCAATCTTGAAAAAAAAAAATAAAGTTGGAAGACTCACATTTCCTGATTTCAAATTTTGCAACAAATCTACAGTATTTAAGACAGTGTAGTATTGGCATAGAATAGATATGTTAATCAATAGAATTGAACTGGTAATTAAGATATAGACTCATAGTTTTGTGATATATAAATTACAACAAAAGTGCCACAACAATTCACTAGAGAAAGAATAGTCTTTCCAACAAATAATGCTGAGATAACTGGATATTCACGTGTAAAAGAAAAAACTGAACTCTTATCTCACAGCATATACAAAATTTAACTCAAAATGGATCAAAGACCTTAATGTAAGAGTTAAAACTATAAAAGTCTCAGAAGAAATCACAAGCACAAATCTTAATGAACTTGGATTTGGCAATGGTTTCTTAGATATGACACCAAAAGCACTAGCAACCAAAAAATAATAATAAGCTGGACATAAGAAAAATTTAAAACCGTTGTTCTTCAAAGGAAACTAGCAAAAATTGAAAAAAGAACTCACAAAATGAATAAAATGTTTGCATATCACATGTCCGAAAAAGGACGGGTATCCAGAATGTACAAAGAGCTCTCACATCTTGTCTTAATCAATTTGTGCTGCTAAACTGAAATATCACAAACTAGATCATTTATTAGGTTGGTGCAAAAGTCATCACAGTTTTTGACATTAAAAGTAATAGCAAAAACTGCAATTACTTTTGGACCAACCTTTTTTATTAGGAGCAGGAATTTATTTTTTTTTAACAGTTCTGTAGGCCGAAAGTCCAAGCTCAAGCACTGGTAGGTTTGTTGTCTGTTGAGGGTCCGGTCTCTGCTTCCAAAATGGTGCCTTGAATGCTGCATCCTCCAGAGGGGATGAACACTGTGTCCTCACAAGGCAGAAGGCGGAAGAGCAAAAAGGGATGAACTTTCTCCAAAAAGCCCTTTTATAAGGGCACCTATTTTCATTCACAAGGGAGGAGCTCTCATGGCCTAATCACCTCTTTAAGGCCCCAACTCTTTATACTATCACATTACCAACACCTGAATTTTGGAGGGAACACATTCAAACTATAACATCTCAACTTAAAAAAAAAAAAAAGAAAAGAAAAAACAACAACATACAACCTGATTTTTAACATGGGCAAAGGATATTAATACCTCTTTCTCCAAAGAAGTTTACAAAAGAGCAATAAGTACACAGAAATCATTAGTCATTAGGAGAATGCAATCCATGAGATACCACTTCACACTGGCTAGGATCACTATATCACAAAGTTAGACAAAATACAGTGGAAAAATGGGAGCCTTCATGCTTCATCAGTGGTGAGAATGTAAAATGGCACAGCCACTTTAGAAACCAGCGTGTTAGTTCCCCAAATCATCAAGCATCAAGTTACCTTATGACCACAAAATTCCACTCCTTAGTATATACCTGAGAAATGAAAATATACGCCCACACAAAAACATGTACACAAATGTTCATAGCAGCATTATTCATAATAGACAAACATGAAAGCAACCCAAATGTGTGTCAACAGATAAATGGATTTTTAAAATGTGGTATATCCATGCAATTGAATATTATTCAGCCACGCAAAAGCAGGAAGTATGGATACATGCTGCAACATGGAGGAATCAGGAAAACATTATGTTCAGTAAAGGAAGACAGACACAAAAGGCTACATATTGTATGATTTATATGAAATGTCCAGAATAAGCAAATCCATACAGCCCAAAAGTATATTGCTTTCTGGGGCCTGAGGCAAGAGGAGATTGGGGGAGATATCCTGCTAATAGTGATGAGATTTCTTTTTGGAATGATGAAATGTTCTGGAAATAGTAGCGATTGGTGTTCAGCTTTGTGAATACTAAAAACAACCTAATTGTATATTTTAAAATGCTGACTTTTATGGTATTTGAATCATATCTTAATTTTTAAAATTTACTTACAAAGTCTTCATGAAAATAATTTCTGTGTTTCTGTATAATGATCAGGACAGGTAAAGAAATAAAACATATTTGGATGTTACCTATGCTCTGATAGAAATCTGTACAAAGTAGTGGGGATAAAGGAGTTGGTCATAGAGAAAGGACTGGAAAATTCTACTTAGTTGTGGGAGGACAGTAATTAAGGTGTCCATAGAGAAGGTGGAACATAAACTGAGTCTTGCCAGGTGAGTAGATGAAGTAGAAAAGCAGTATCTTCCAGCAAGAAAGAGTAGCTTAAATAGTCTGGGCATAAATTTAGGGAAGGTAGAGCAATGAGACAAGGAAGGAGAAGTCGTCAGACTTACAAGTAAGTCATGCTAAGGATTTTAGATTTTATTCTGAGGGCAGTTGGGTACCATTGTAGTTAAAACCTACAAAATAAAAATGATTACCTGAGTATTAGAAAGCTCATTCTGCCAGAAATGGGAGCGATATCAACAGAAAACCAATTGCAGATAGGAGCACCTGTTAGGATTGTACAGCAATAATTTAGGCAGGAGGTGATGTGGCTTCATACTAAAGCAATGGCTTTAGAGGAGAAAGATTCCAGACAGTACAGCTGTGGAACTGATAGGACAGAGTTGTCAGTTGAATGTACATGTGTAGAGTATGGAAGTTTCTGATGGTTTTAGGTGGCTGTAATCTTCACAAAACCAAGGAAAGAGAGTAGATCTTCAGAAACGTAATATGATCACAAGAAAAATTAACACTGCTACAGCACAATAGTCCTTCATGGTTGAAAGACACTGTGTAGTGAAAACTAAATGGACTCAAAAGAACTAAGACATGCAGAGAGTCTGGCATTTCTAGTAGCTTAATTTCTAACAGTAAATTCTATTCTGAAAACACAGGAAAGGGAAACAGGAATAAAGTGGATAATTATATATAAAATAGAAAAATATATATTTCTATATAATTACATATTTATGTGTATTTATATATATTAAACATATAAGTTTAATTTTGGCACTTCCATTCTTTATCTAGCCTCATTCAGCCTGACTTTCAGAACAAGCAATAACAAAATGGTAAGCATTACACCAGTGAGAATCCTGATGTCTCATGAAAGTGAAGTCTACAATTTTAACATTAGGCATTTCTAAGATACATAGACCATTTAAAGAGCAGGAATGTAGTTAAATACTTAATCTCACTCTCAGTTCTTCTCTCTGCAGTTTTCTGTTTTCAATTATGCCTTGAAAAAGAGGCACATATAACTGAGAAGGGAATGTGTATAAAAAATCAAAATGTGAACCTTTGTATTATGTGTACTTATGTCTTTCTTTCCTGAATGCCCTTCTAGTTTCTCCAACACATAATTGTCAGAGTCTATATGCTGCTCCATATTCTATTCAGTTATTCTTATATTCTTGAGACTCCCTGCAAGACTTTAAATGATGATTTAATATCTAAAATATTGCATTAAGCATAAAGTATTTATTGATGTTTTAAATGAACACCTGTGAATAGATTAAAATAACCACCATGAAAATAAAACCTGTCCACAGAAGAGGCATTTAAATTGGTTGCTCTAATTACTGAAAACTGTATCGAAGACAGCAGTAAAAAGATTTTAATTTTGGAAATATCAAAATTACATTTTAAGTGATCAGATGATCTGATTAAAACACTTTACAGGACCAGATGCGGTGGCTCACGCCTATAATCCCAGCACTTTGGGAGGCTGAGGCAAGCAGATCACAAGGTCGGGAGTTTGACACCAGCCTGGCCAACATAGTGAAATTCTGTCTCTACTAAAAATACAAAAAATTAGCCGGGCGTGGTGGCGGGCGCCTGTAATCTTAGCTACTTGGGAGGCTGAGACAGGAGAATTGCTTGGACCTGGGAGGCAGAGGTTGCAGTGAGCCAAGACTGTGCCACTGCATTACAGCCTGGGTGACAGAGCGAGACTCCATCTCAAAAAATAAAAAACAAAAAAACAACAACAACAGCAAAAATGCTTTACAGAATACATTAACTTTAATAAAAGTACGGTAAAAGATAGAGTTAAGGAACATTTATTAGTATGTGATAAACTAAGACCTCATCACCATTTCCTGCTCTCAGCTCATGTTTCAAGAGCCAAGAGAGACAAGGTGAGAGAAAGTGAGGGGAAAAGCTGGGAAGATGTCTTAACTTGGATGTAATTTATCCCTCTTTACATCCTTCCACCTTCATCTATCTCTTTTTTCTCTGTGTACTTTTCAGAAAGGTGGCAAGATAGAGCCCTAAGACAGGGCTCCAGTAAAAATTAAAATGATCCTGAAAAGTGATGAAATTAAAGCAGGATGACTGCACTCCTTGACTTATGTAAAGTTTATTCAAACCTGACTTGCTCTCCTTTGAACCTGGTAGTGCATGGATTTCTTAATGATGTGCAAATTAAAAGGACTTTATCAAAGACTCGATAAGCCTGTGGTCAATGCAAAAAGAACTGAAGGAAATTCTATAATAATTTCAGGGAAAAGATGCAATATACTGCACCATGTACGTCTAGAACAAACAAAAAAACCAGCTGAATAGTTAAAATGATTCCATTTCACCTGAATAATCACCCTGGCATAATACCAAAATTAGATATCTTTGTTTAGCCTCCTCGATATTTAAGCTCCCTTCCTTAGATTAACAATTGGGAAAAAGAGCTTTTGTTTCTGTAGAATTAGATACCAAAGCATTATGTTTTGGGGAACATGCCAGTGGATATCTCTCACTGTGGTTCTAGGCAATAATGTAAATAAATTAGGATTATTTGAATTGTGATATTAGAAGAGTGATTTCTCATTTCAATCATATTACCTAGAAATAGTTTCTCCCTAAGTCTGGGACAGAAAGATAAGTAAGTTGATTTCAGAGTCACTTAAGGTCATCAGCAATGTAGATAAAAGTGTTCACCTGGAAATGCATGTAAGTGAGAAGCAAAAATAAGGTAGAATATTCAAAGGCAACACCACAAAATAACTAGAAGAGAATATAGAGAAGAACACAAAGGAAGATGTTTAGGAAACTCAAAAACTTAGAAGTCAGGTGAGATGAGCACGTGCCACATTTTCTTCCTTGTATTTCAGCAATCCAGAATGTGAACTGTTTGGGGAATGTGCCATTGTGCGAGTCCTACTCACCCAACTTGGCAGGGTCCATTCTCAGCACAGAAAATTGCAGAGCATATTTATTTATTCCTCCAATTCTGGAAGCCAGGCTGGAAACAATGACCTATGCTCAGGAAACTAGAGGTTCCCAAGCAGGAATCTGGATTGGGAGCAAGTAACACAAATAAGCAGGCAGGGTTTAGGCTTCCTCCCTTAGGACAGTGGCTTGGGCACCCTGTGCTCTGCAGTGGGGACAGCAGCACTGCCCGACCCGCTTTCCCAGTGGCAAGACCTGAGCTAAGGATTGAAATACCCAGTCTCAGTAATTCCTAGCATTTTCTGACTGTTTCTCAAGGCCTGCCATTGACCCTCTGAGCCACTCATATCCTTCCAAAGAATGCCTTCTCTGCTCCTCTGTTAAAAACTAGTTTGGAGTTTTACAACAGTGACAGAAGTCAAACGTGAGACACTTCCAAGTGTGGGACCCTATGCAATTGTGCAGGTTGCATGTCCTTGAAGCTGGTCCCACTAGTACATCACAGAAAGAAAGGCACTCATTAATAATAATTAGATTGGGTGTCAGGGGTGGGTGAAATCCCTGAAAATGTGAATCTTCAGTGCTTTATCGTGTGTGAGTGCTTGGTAGCCAATGGATGTTACAGTCAGGATCAAGCTATCTAATAAAACTCATTTAAACCTAACTGAATTGCCAGGGCACTAGTAAGGTTTGGCTGAATTTGCTGTGTCTTCAGAAAATAAAGATTTTTCTTCTGTGCACACATCTAATTTGGAATTTTCTTGGGTATGATTTATGAACTTTGAGACAGAAAAATAAAAATTGAGTCAAAGGCATTTTAAAAGGTCCAAGCCTAACTCTACCCATGAGAGAGCCACATGCAGTTGTGCCATTTATTCTGCCACTGAGAGATGGCCATGCATCCACAGCATCGCCACAGAGCTGCTATTGACACTTCGTTCATGGGTGCTCTCCAGAGATAAACCTGTTAGTGCCCAACACACTCAGCCAAAGTACAAGCTAGGCTCAACCAGCCCACCTACTTTTTTAGGGAAAGCTCTCCATTTAGATTCCTATCCTAATAAAACTGTCCAGACTTGATATGGTCACCATAAATTTTGTGTATGAGCTTGAAATTCCTGAGATTTGGTATATAGAAGAAAAATCTCATAAAATGGATAACAAAGTGAGAAAATTCTGGTACCAATGCCCCAAATCATCTGGCCTGGCAGCATGTCAGTCATGCCCAGGTGCCACTCACTGACTTGGTGCTACCCCAGCTGACCTGTGCAGGCTCAGGAAATGAATGAATGTCTAACAACATGCATATAGTCAAAGTAGATATGTTATGCATTCTGTCGTCAAACAAAAGCCTTATGTTTAGCTCCCAGAAATTTTTCGACCAAGTTTCACAATTTTTATGTTAATGAAAAGGATGGGGGAAGGAAATCTGCAGAGATGTCAGTGGCATGTCAAAGGGAGTGGCAGTGGCAGGTCAGAACACCCTTGTAGTGACATGGACAAAGCTTTCCACCATGCACATAGTCTTTCAACACAGCAACATCTTAGCAGACACATCCGAAGAAACAAGCTCTGCTCTGCAATCAGAAACATTAAAAAAAAAAAATAAGCTGCTCCCTGGCCCACTGGCAGAGCTACTGAGATTTTCAGTTCAGAACAGAAAGATTGTTTAGGTGCCTACTTGGCCTCTTCCTCTGTCTCCTACAACCTCATTGAGTAGATGTTGGTTTATTCAAATTAGTACATAATTGAAAGCAGCTGCTACTTCATAGGTGACTGGAAGTCCTAACAGTCTCTGGGAAACATGCAAAATTAACTGAGTTCACATAATTCAATATTCATTTTTTATTATTCATCTTTATTAAATTAATTTTAATTACATAAATAACTATCTTTATGGAACACCTAGTACACATGAGGCATCATAGTACCAAATACCAAATCATTTTCCTGTATTCATTTAATCCTCCCAACGTTCTGTGAGCTAAATATTATGACAATCAAAAATGTAAAAACCTGAATGTGGAGAAGATATGTAATTGATCTAAAATCACACTAATGAATGGAAGCGGGAAGATGCAAACCCAGTTATTGATGTTCTTAAAGCTGTTTTTTGCTACCTTCAACACGTGTGGAATATTTCTTATCTACAAAGCATCATGATAGGAACTGAAAAAAAATTAATGTGAAGAAAGATTCTAAGCTTCCAGGAGCTTTTAATATAGTGAGAAGCAGACAAGAACATCTCAGACATATTCAACTGACTCCTGACAAAGGTCTAAAGACAATTCAACAGAGAAAAAATAGTCTTTTCAACAAATGGTTCTTGAACAACTAGATATCTGTTTGCAAAAATTTTAAAGTAAGCCTCAATCCATATCTCACACTGCATACAAAAGGTAATTCAAAATGGATCATAGGCATGAATGTAAAACCTAAAAGTATAAAACCTCTAGAAGAAAACACAGGAAAAGCCCTTGTGGCTTGGTTAGATGAAGATTTCTTAGATACAATACCAAGATTTCCATCTGTAAAAATAAACAAATTGGTACATTCATCAAAAATTAAACTTCATCAAAATTAAAAACTTTAGCTGTTATTAAACAAAAAAGATAGGGTTAAGCCAATGAAAAGAGCAGGCACAGATCAGGAGAAAATACTTGCAAAATACATATCTGAGAAATGGCTTGTATCCCAACTATATTTATAAATATATACTCAATAACAAGAAAACAAACAACTCAATAAAAATAAATGGGCAAAATATGTGACAGGCACTTCACAAAAAAAGTTATACAGATATCCAAGAAGCACATGAAAATATGACATTAATCATTAGGTCAAATCAAATTAAAGCCACAGTGATATGTCAGTACATACTTTTTAGAATGGCTAGTTTTATTTTTTCTAATGACAATACTAAAGTGTTGAAAGGAGTTTGGCAGTTTCTTATGAAGTTAAATATATACTTATGATATGACTCAAGAATCCCACTCCTAGGTATTTACTCTAGAGAAATAAAAACTTGTATTTACACAACACTTGTATGTAAATGTTTTCTATGGATTTATTCATAATCTCCAAAAATGGGAAACAACATTAATCTCCATGAAACTTACGAATGGATAAACAAATTTTGCTATGCCCACAGAGTAGAATTCAGTTTATGAATAAAAGTTAGCAAATCATGGATGTACACAATAACCATATGAATATCAAGAACATTATATTAAGTAAAATTAGCCAGATTTTTAAAACTGTGCAATGTATGATTCCACTTATATGACACTGTAGAACATGAAAAACTAGAAAGACAGAAAGCAGATTAGTGGTTTCCAGGGGTTAGGAATGGGGAAAGATGCTCACTACACACTTTGGGGTGATGGATATATATTCTCTACCTCAGTTTTGATGGTGATTCACAATCCATAGAACTGTATACCAAAAAAGGTGAATTTTGCTGGATATTAATTATATGTGTGAAAACCTGCAATTAAATGTTCAGCATGCCTAAAACTGAGGCCATTCTGTTTCTCACTGAGCTTTGCTCCTCACTGAAAAGCACCACTTCCTATTCACCTGTCTTCAAAGGATGGCTCTTCCTACTGAAATAAAAAATGGATACACAACACACAAAAATCTATGGGATACAGCAAAAGCAGTACTAAGAAAGAAGTTTGTAAAACAAACACTTCTTTTTTTATTATTATTATACTTTAAGTTTTAGGGTACATGTGCACAATGTGCAGGTTAGTTACATATGTATACATGTGCCATGCTGGTGTGCTGCACCCATTAACTCGTCATTTAGCATTAGGTATATCTCCTAATGCTATCCCTCCCCCCTCTCCCTACCCCACAACAGTCCCCAGAAACACTTCTTGTATTACAAAACTAGAAAGACTTCAAACAAACAACCTAAAAATGCACTGCAAGGCCTAGAAAAGCAAGGACAAACCAAACCCAAAATTAGTATAAGGAAATAAATAATACAGATTAAAGCAGAAATAAATAAAACTGAGACTTAAAAGATCAATGAAATAAGTTGGTTTTTTGAAAAGATGAGCCAAATTGATAGCTGCCCTAAGAAAAAAGGAGAGAATACCCAAATAAATAAAAATCAGAGATGAAAAAGGAGAGCTAATAACTGAGACCATAGAAATATAAAGAATACCCAGAGAATATTATTACAAACTATTCATCAACAAATTGGAAAAGCAGGAAATGAATAAATTCCTGGACACATATCACCTACAAAATTGAACCATAAAGAATCAGAAAACATCAATAAATTAATAACAAGTAATGCAACTGAAGCCATAAAAAGTCTCCCATCAAAGAAAAGCCTAGAACCTAATGGTTTTACTGCTGAATTCTATCAAACTTTTAAAGAGGAAATAATACCAATTCTTTTCAAACTATTCCAAAACATAAAGAGGAGGGAATACTTTCAAATTCATTCTATGAGGACAGCATTACCCTGATACCAACACCAGAGAAGGATACAACTAAGAAAAGAAAACTACAAGCCAATATTATTGATGAGTATAAATGCAAAATTCTTAACAAAATACTAGCAAACCAAATTCAACAACACATTAAGAAGAGCATTCATCATGATCAAGTGGGATTCATCTCTGGAATGCAAGGATGGTCCAACAAATGGGAATCAATAAATGTGATACATCAGATTAACAGAACCAACTAGAGAAACCATATGATTCCTTCAATAGAAGCTGAAAAAGCATTTGATAAAGTTCAACATCTGTTTATGATAAAAACCTTCATTAAACCGGATATAGAAGGAACATACATCACAATAATAAAGACCGCATATGCCAAACCCACAACTAATATCATACTGAATGGGGAAAAATTGAAGGCCTTTTTTTTCTGAGAGCTGGAACAAGATATAATCCCCACTTTCACCACTTTTATTCAACATAGCACTGGAAGTCCTGGACAGAAGAATTAGACAAGAGAAAAAAATAAAGGTCATCTTAATTGGAAAGGAAAAGGTCAAATTAGCCTTGCTTGCAGATAACATGATCTTATACTTAGAAAGAAAACACAAAGACTCCACCAAAAACTCTTATAACTGATCAACAAATTTGGGAAAATTGCAAGATACAAAATCAGTATATAAAAATCAGTAGCACTTACCTATACCAACAGCAGACAACCTGAAAAATCAAGAAAACAATGCCATTTACAAGAGCTACAAAGAATATAAAATACCTACAAATATATTTAACCCAGAAAGTAAAAGATCTTTACCAGGAAAACGGTAAAACACTAATGAAAGAAATTAAACAGGACACACGAAAAATGAAAAGAACATTTCATGCTCATGAATTGAAAGAATCAATATTGCTAAAATGTCCATACTATCCAAAGCAATCTACAGATTCAGTGCAATCTCTATCAAAATACCAATGATATTTTTCACAGAAATAGAAGAAACAATCCTAAAATTTGTATGGAACCATAAAAGACCCCAAATAACCAAAACAATCCTGTGGGGAAAAAAAAAAAAACAAAGCTGGAGGCATCACACTACCTGGATTTCAAAATTTATTCCAAAACTGTAGTATTTAAAGCAGCATTGTCTGGCATAAAAAACAGACACATAGACCAATGGAACACAATAAAGAACCCAGGGATAAATCCATGCATTTACAGCCAAATCATCTTTGATGAAGGTACCTAGAACATACAATGGGGAAAGGACAGCATCTTTGATAAGTAGTGTTGCTCCCATGGTGCTGGATAACTATAAGTCAGCAGAATGAAACTGGATCCATATCTCTCAATATATACAAAAATAAAGTAAAAATAGATTAATGTCTTAAATCTAAGACCCAAAACTCTGAAACTAGAAGAAAACATTAGGGAAGTGCTCCAGAACAGTGGTCTGGGAAAGATTTTTTTTTAATATAAGACCTTAAAAGCACAAGCAACCAAATCAAAAATAGACACATGGGATTATGTCAGCTGAAAAGTTCCTGAACAGCAAATGAAAAAATCAACAAAGTGAAGAAACAACCTATAGAATGGGAGAAAATATTTGCATACTACCCATCTTACAAGGGACTAATAACCAGAATATATAAGGAACTCAAACAACTCATTTACAAAAAAAAAAAAAACCCACAACAAAAAATCTAATTTAAAAATGGACAAAAGATATGAATAGACGTTTCTCAACAGAAGACATACAAATAGCCAACAGGTTTATGAACAGATGCTCAACATCACTAATCATCACAGATATGCAAATCGAAACTACAATGAGAGGACTGCTCTGCCTACGAGGTAGTCATTCTTTATTCATTTACTTTCCTCAAAAAACAAAAACAAAACTACAATGAGAGACATAATCTCATCCCAGTTAAAATGACTTTTTTCCAAAAGACAGGCAATAACGGATGCTGGCAAGAATGTGGAAAAAGGAGAACCCTCATACACTATTGGTGAGAGTATAAATTAGTACAACCACTATGAAGAACAGCATGAAGGTTCCTTAAAGAACTAAAAATAGAGCTACCATACGATCCAACGATTCCACTACTGGATATATATCCAAAAGAAAGAAAATCAATATATTGAAAAGATATTTGCACTCTCGTGTTTATTAAAGCACTATTCACAATAGCCAAAATATGGAATCAACCCAAGTGTGCAATAATAAATGGATAAAGAAAATTTGGTTTATATACACAATGAAATGTTATTCAGCCATAAAAAGAATGACTGTGTGTCATTTGTGGCAACATGGATGAACCTGGAATTAAGTGAAATAAGCCAAGCAAAGACGACAAATATCCTATGTTCTCACTCATATGTTGGAGCTAAAACAGTGGATCTCATGAAAATACAGAGTAGATCTGTGGTTACCAGAGGCTGGGAGGGGTAGAGAGTAGGGGAGTATGAACAGACATTGATTAATGGGTACAGATATATGGTTTTATTTATTTCGTTTTTTGTTGTTGTTGTTTTTGGAGATAGGGTCTTGCTCTGTTTCTCAAGCTGGAGTGCAGTAGTGCTATCAAGGCTCACTGCAGCCTCAACTTCCCAGGCTCAAGCAATCCTCCCACCTTAGTCTCAACACCAGCCCATAAAAGCAGCCAGGAGGGAGGCCGTGTCCTGCAGAGCCACAGAGGCAGAGCGCCCAAGACCATGGGAACCCACCTCTTGCATCAGCATGACCCGGAAGCGAGACATGGAATCAAAGGGAATCATTTGGGAGCTTTAAGATTTGACTGCTCTGCTGGATTTCAGACTTGCATGGGGCCTATAGGCCCTTTGTTTTGGACAATTTCTCCCATTTGGAATGGCTGTATTTACCCAATGCCTGTACCCGCATTGTATTTAGGAAGTAACTTTCTTTGATTTTTACAGACTCATAGGCAGAAGGGACTTGCCTTGTCTCAGACGAGATGTTGGACTGTGGACATCTGAGTTAATGCTGAAATGAGTTAAGACTTTGGGGGACTGTTGGAAAGGCATAATTGGTTTTGAAATGTGAGGACGTGAGATTTGGGAGGGACAAGGGATGGAATAATATGGTTTTGCTGCATCCCCACCCAAATCTCATCTGGAATTGTAACTCCCATAATTCCCACGTGTTGTGGGAGGAACCTGGTAAGAGGTGATTGAATCACAGGGGCAGGTTTTTTCCTGTGCTGTTCTCAGTATAGTAAATGAGTCCCACAAGATTCGGTGGTTTTAAAACTGGAGTTTCCCTGCACAAGCTCTCTCTTTGCCTGCCACCATTTACGTAAGATGTGACGCTCCTTCTTGCCTTCTGCCATGATAGTGAGGGCTCCCCAGCCATGTGGAACTGTAAGTCCATTAAACCTCTTTTTCTTCCCAGTCTCAGCTATGTCTTTATCAGCAGTGCGAAAACAGACTAATACTGTTGTTCTGTTACGAGTTGCTGTAAAGGCTTGAGTTGATTGGCCTCCAGCCAGCAGGTGGCGATTTCAAGATAGCACCAGCTGCAGTAGTAGAAGGGGGATATAAGCTTGCCCTATGTTGGCCAGGATAAGTATTCAGGTTTCTCAGATGATGGACAGGGCCATAGAGCTCCCAAGAGTTTTTTTCTTTTGTATTTAGCTACCAGGGAAGGTAGAGAAAGATTGTCAGGTGGGGGCAGGGTTAGGCAGGTCTCAGCTCAGACTCCTTTGACGGGGCTTGCTGCAGCCACTGTGGGGTTTGGGGTAGTGGTTTGCAGGCCAGTGGAATTATGTTCCAAGGGGGGATTATGGCTGCCTCTGCTGTGTCATATATATTGCCAGGGAAGTGGGAGAAAGCCGGCAGTGACACATCTCACTCAGCTCCCAGGCGCCAGCAAGGCCAGCCTCACTCCCCACCATGCCCCGCCAACAGCACCAAGTTTACATCCAGGCAGCCAGCACTCAGGGCTGAGATCTTGCCTTAGACTACAAGCCTCCCTGCTGACAGAGCAAGCAGGGCTTTCCGGCCTTGCCCCTTCCCACCTCCCCGCACCACAGGCTGTGGCTTCTGTGCTCCTATCTGCACTTTTCATTAATCTCTCTGGGTTCTGCTCAGGAAAATTCATGCTCAGTTGAAATTATTAAAAAGTCCAGCTAGAAGCTTTCTTTACCCTGTGGCCCCTTCCCAATTCTACTGGCTGCCTTCCTCAAGGACCCCTATGAGATAAAGCCAGGGATGGTTTCCTGGGCTTCAGCTGGGGACTGGGCGTGCTTGCAGGGTACTTCCCGCTGCTTCTATGTTTCTATTTTGCTCAGCTCCCTAAACCCATTTCAGCTCTAGGTAAGGTTAAATCTTTCTCTCATGATCTGGATTTTCAGGTTCCCAGTGGGAATGTGTACTCGGAGGCCGACTTTTCCTCTCACACTTTGGGAACTCACAGTTTTTCAGCTGTCTCACAGAGTTTGCAGCAGCAAGCCACCTCTTTCAAAGGGTCTGTGAATTTTATCAGTTTTCCTGATATGTTCCTGCAGTAATTCTTGGAGCAGAAGTTCACGATGTGGGTCTCCACATGCTGTTCCATTCGTCGAAGTAGGAACTGCACATTAGTCCTGTCTCCTATCCGCTATTTTGGCTCCTGGCTAATTTTTAATTTTTTCTTTTAGAGATGAGGTCTCACTCTATTGCCCAGGTTTGTCTCAAATTCCTAACCTCCATCAATCTACCTGCCTCAGCCTCCCGAAGTGCTAGGATTACAGGCATGAGCCACTCACCCACAAATATATGATTTTATACAAGAAATAATACATAGTGTTAGGCAGATTAGTAGGGTGACTGTAGTTTACAATATTCTATTGTACATTTCAAAATAGAAGAGAATAATTTGAATTTCTTGCATAAAGACAAATATTTAAGGTGATGCATATCTCAAGTACACCAATTTGATCTTTACAAACTATACGAATGTATTAAATTATCACATGTACCCCAAAACTATGTACATCCATTATGCATCAATAGAAATATTTTAAAAATTTTAAATGATGGCTCTTTCATCTCTCACTCCCAGAATGAAGTCAGTTTTGATGCCCAGTAAATTCCATCTCTTTGTTTTTCTCAGAAATATTCCTTCCTCCCCATTCCTGTTGTCCCTGCTTGCTTTGTTCCTTCAGCATTTTCAGTCTGACTCCTGCCCTGGCCTCATGACAGGTTTTTTTTTCCCTGGACTCCCATTCTGCTTCAATCAATTCTACCCTATCCCTTAGCCTGAATGATCTTTATAAAACATTATCCTCGTCACGAATATCCTGTGTTCAAAATCTTCACAAGTTTTCTACAGAATAAAGTCCTAACTCTTTCATATTGAATAGAGGTTTGGTCCAGTGTACCTTCCGTCACCCTGAAGGCATATTTGATGCCCCAGCCATACTGTGACTCAAAACATAGTTCTTGGATGTGCCTCATTGTTTTTTCCTGCTCTGTAACTTTGCAAAGGTTCTGCCTTTGTGCCTGAAATGCCTTCTGAAAATCCTGTCTCTGCTCACTTTTTGAGACTTTCCTGACATGTTATTTATTCAGTGGAAACTTCTTTCCTACTGTCCACATCAGGCAGAGAGCTAGATGTTCCCAGTTCTATGCTCCAACAGCAATATGCTTGAACCTCAGCAAGGGCACTCACCTCCCTGTCTTGCAACTGTGCATAGATCTGGCTATCCCAATAAATTAAGTGCTGGTTAAATAAACCAGCTATGTATTATACACTTTTGAATCCACAGCAACAAGAGGCATTTGGTAAATATGATTCAGCATATAAACATATCACATATGCAGTATCAGAAAAAAAATTCCTGGAGCATTGTGCCCTCCCAACTTACAACTCCTGTTATTTTGGCTCACTATAGACTGCTTTTTGAGAAAAGATCACCTAACACTTTGTTAAAAGAAAAACTTTAGAAAAATTAAATTTAATAAAGTTTATTTGAGCAAAGAATGATTCACAAATTGGGCAGCACTCAGAACCAGAAGAGGCTCAGAGAGCTCTGCTCTGTAACAGTGAGCAATGATTATTTACAAACAGAACAGGAGACTAAAGGGCACGAATAGCTTGATTGGGATACAGCTAGACATTTACCTTGTTTGGACATGGTCTAATCAGTTGGCTGCCCATACCTGGCTGAAACTCCGTTTCTTGGGATTGGCTGAGACTCAGTTGTTCATCATAATCCTAAGTTAGGTTTTAGTTTGTGTATGTATGAAGTTAGGTTGCAGTTCATTAATAAAGGAATTCAAGGAGAGGAGATAGACTTGGGCCTAATTTAACAACACACTTCAGCAATGGCACAACACAGTCAAGACAAATCCCTGAGGCTATAGAAGAGCAAACATACTAAGACAGGCATAATATATAAAGCAGGTTAGTTGCAGGAAAAATACAAGGAAGATTAATAAGGTCACTGTCTTATATTTAAGTGTCCCATAAAGATTTTTGTAGGAGGTTAGCATTATTCATAGGTCACTCTTACTGCTATATGAGACCAAACCAGTTTCTGAGCTTGCTATTTGTGGAACTGGTGGACTCTGTGGAGAGATTCTTGTAGCATGCATCTTTATTCATTGTATCCTGATAAGCATGGAGATTGGCTTCCTTTTGGCCTGAGAGTGGAAGATTATTTCTTTGGTATGTGCTTATATGGCTGTGTATTGAATAGGGGAGCAGAGAGGAGGAACACTGGTGCTTGGCATGCCATGTGAATCTCTGAATCTGCTGTTTGCAGCACTGGTTTTCCCCTAATGGAGAAGAGTTAGCGGCAGACACTGAAGGAAACAGTCAATAAAGTCGTGGTGTTCCTGTGCACACAGAGATACTTCCGTCCCCATGAGGCAGCAGTCACCACCAGGAGAGAAGAGGCTGTTTGCCCACCAATTCTACTGCAGACCACAGGGACCAGACAGAACAATATGCAACAAAGTCATGGAACTGAGGATAAAACAAGTGTTCCACAGTCACAGCATGTGGTGTTTGTTTGTGGGAGGGAGGGTGAAATTAATTAGGAGATGTTAATGCACAATAGAGTGGTTTTGCCATACTTTATCCATCTTCATCATTTTCTTTTTTTTTTCTTCCCAGGATTAGAGGAATATCTTCTCTATTTTTTGCATTGCTGTTTCTAATTCATTTTCAGTTCATCTACTCTCATGGTTTCTTCACTGAAAATGAATTAGAAATTACAAAAACTATAGATTTGTCATTTTCAACCAAATCGTGGTTTGAAACAAATTCTTGTCCTAGCAGCTTGCTGAATTTTAATCAAAATACATTTTTTTCAAGTTGGCGTCAGTGAAATTCTGTTGCACAAATGGTTTGGGGACTAACAATGACTCACTGGAAGCTCTCCTGGTGGTCCCTGGTGAAGCATGGAGATGCCCAGTGGGTACAGGAGCCAAGCAGCATTGGCACTGGCAGAGGGCAGTGGCAGTGATCAATGCACACACACAGAGAGAAAAACAAACTAAGGAACAGGAGCAGGTTTTTCTTTTCTACTTACAGAAAACCCTCAGGGGATGCCCAAAAATATCTGAGGTAGTCTATATTGAAGAAGGTGATATTCTTATTTTCTTTTTCCCATACCGTATGGTTCGTATTTTAGGCAAGATTGGTATATACTCTGTGGGGGCCTTTTTCAGAAAGCAAGAAAAACATGTCATTAAAGGTACTAAAGCCTGAAGTTTTTTCCTTTCTTCCACAGTCTTTCAGTTTATAATGATGCTTTTTATTTGCTATTTAATGTCATTTTCAGAAAAATATTTACATTAGTATGAATTTTATTATTCTTCCTTTCATTATTCAATGCCAGTTTTAAATGCAAATGTAAGAATTTATAGTAGAATCAGCAATATTATACAATTTATATTTTATAGTTTATACATGCATATGTACCTAGTTCTTGCCAGAAAAGAAGCTGTATAAAACTAATCAACTTTTTAAATTTTACTTTGGAATAAATGTACATTCTTTTAAGATGCTCTAACTTCAGTTTATTAGTGCATAAGAAAACACTTGAAAGGAAAAGGAATTATGAGTTGCCCTATCTTTCCCCTTCCTTCTGTGTCATCATTTTCATCATAAGTGTTTGGCTAATAAAGGAAAATAACACATACATAAAAGAAATATGATACAGTTGCTTAGTTGTTCATGTTTGTTAAATTATCATTGCCTTCATTTTATACTTGAAGCAAGTTTGTTTTGCAAGAGAAAGCAAAGTCCCTCAGAGCTTTCAGCACACCCAGCCTATTCAGCAAGGGTAACAAAAGATCAAAGGAACAGATTAGAACGTTTCCGGAGAAACAGCCAAAAGTCAGAACAACCTAAATGTCCTTCAACTGAAGAAGAGACAAACACATTGTGGTAGTTTCATGCAATGGAATATTACTTGCCAATAAACAGGAACAAACTCCTGATATACGCATCACAATCGTGAATCTCAAAAACGTTATATTGAGTGAATAAAGCCAGACACACAAAAAAGCAGATACTGCATGAGTACATTTTTTATGAGGTTCTAGAACAGGAAAACTCAAGCTGTGATGATAAATGTTATCACAGATACTGTCTTCTTTGGAGTTAAGGGATGCCTAGACAACCACCTGAGGAAACATTCTGGGATGTTGAAAGTGATCTAGTCTTGACTGGGCTGGAAGCTATGTGGGTGTATCCTTTTATCAAAACTGGTCAAACAGTATATTTAGGACCTCTCAGTTTCACTCTGTATAAATAATACCTAGGTTAAAAGTAAGTTACTTTGCATTTCTCTTTCCAAAAATAATCAGTTATCTTGTGCCTTTTCTCTCCTAAGCAAATTTTAAAATCAGATTGTCAAATGCCACAAGAATT